>NC_000014.9:75823834-75975349 GCF_000001405.40 Homo sapiens
TCTTGAGAAGTTGGAACCATTTTCGATGTCACCCTGTCCTTCTGCCCTCTTATTCAACAATAGATTATAAATAGCTTGGTATTCTGCTTTGCGTAATTTTAAGGTACACATTTTTCAGAGATTCTGATTCTAGTTTAGTTAATAATACTTTCCTCCCTTCTTTTAGATTATTCTTAGAAATGTTGCTGGAGATTCAGGTCTCTAACTTCTCATCTTTTCATTCTCAGTCAGTCCTCAGAAATACTGAATTTGTTAATTTCCTTTAAAAATATGTCTTATGCATTTTCTATATGTCAGGCATTGTGTTAGTTGCTGGGGAGGAGCAGTAAATAAAACAGAATGGTTCCCAATCTCAAAATTTACTCTCTAGGGTATATCTTCCATGTTCTCAGCACAGTATTGGGTGCTGGGTAGGGCCTAAAAGACTTTTGAAGACATAATGTTTGATCACTAAGAGGCTACTGTCTGGCAGGGAAAGGGAGTGTATACACATGAAACAATCAGAGCAGTGGCAGGGGGCATATGACAAAGATCTGAATTTTATGGGATAGACAATTTGAAGAAAGGGTGTCAAGAAGGGCATGTAAGGAGTCAGTCCTGTCCCGGATGAACCTTGAGGGTCGTATGCTCAGTGAAGCCAGCCAGTCACAAAAGGACAAATCCATTCATACGAAACATCTAAAGTAGTCAAAATCATAGAAACAGAAAGTAGAAAGGTGGTTGCCAAGGGCTGGGGGAAGAGGGGAGGGGGAATTAGTGTTTAATGGGTATAGAGTTTCAGCTGTGAAAGATGAAAATGTTCTAGAAATCTGTTGCAGAATGATGTGAATGCACTTAACACTCCTGAACTATACATGTAAAAATGGTTAAGATGGTACATTTAAAATTATGTGTTTTTTTTTTTTTTTTAAACAAAGAAGAGTATGTAAGGATTTAAGAGAGCTCCATAGTTCCACAAAAATTACTTAGTGGCCAAATGGCAAGGTTTTGTTTTTATCCTCTGCCTCTGTTATAAGGGAATTATTCTGAACATAGTCCTTTAAATACTTCTCTTTCTTGAAAAGCATGTTACCTTTATAGGAAATGGGCCCAGCAATTTCTGTTAGGAAGATGGCATAGTATGGTGGGAAGAGAAGGGACTTTAGAGTCAGACAGACCTAGGTTTGCCTTATTAAGTGTGTGACCTTGGGCAAGTTGCTTAGCTTTTCTGAACCATAATTTCCCCATCTTTTTTTCAATGCACATAGTTAAACCCACCTCATTAAGTTGTTGTAAGATTAAACTGAGTTGTGTATGTGAAAGTGGCCAGCATGGTTTTTACTTTTTACTTTTTTGGTGTAGGTTTCTTGGTAACTCTCAGTTCCCTTTCCAGAAAAAAGAAAGAAAGAAAGAAACTTAAAATTGAACTTGCTTGGGATATGGTATTGCTCACCACTTAGTTTAGTACCTAGTTTACATCACTCTGGCCATCACCCTGTGCAGTACGCTCCTGGGACTGGATAACAGAAATCTGGCCTTTCTAGCCGAGGATGGGAAGGCATCAGAGTGGGGCCAACAAGAGACTCTTCCTTTTTCTTTGACCCCTTGGTTGGAGGTCAGCTTCTTTCTACTCAGCAGGCCCTTTTTCTCTGCTGTCTCCTGAATGTTGAAATTTCCATTGCAGCTCAATGTTCCAGCCAGTAAACACTCATATTTTCCATCTATCCTGGGGGTCGAGCTTTGGGAGAGCTTTTCTCTGGAGCAGTTTGGAGCTTATAATTTTGTACTTTATCCTGTTATATAAACAATGCTTTCCAGCCAAAGAGCACAATCAAAGAGAAACTACTTTTTGTGGGGGGGACTAAAAAAAATTCATATTCAGAGTCCTGTAGAAGTGATATTTCACTCCTTATGCCTCTTTCTTCTCTTTCATAAAATAAAGTTTACCTCACCTTTCTCCTGAGTCTTAACTCTCACTATTCCTTCCCCTGAGGAAAACGATTTCTCCAGTACATGTATGATAAAGGCCTGTACTTCCATCTGAATTTTCTCTGCTACTTTTCTCACTCAGCCAGACACGTAACCTCTCAAGAGTTATACGCTGCATCAGTTCAAGCTCTGTGACAGATTCTACAGTTCCTCCTTCACCGAGAGAGCTGAGTGCTGTCAGTGTTTGTGCCAAGAGCAAAAGTGATTGGCTTCTGCCTAATAAAGGAACGTTGGGAAGCTTAGGAAATCTGTCAAAGATAGCTGGCTGGACGTCATACCAGGGCCTAGGTAGCATAGGTTCGGGAACCTGGGGCCGAGTGTCAGGAGTGAAAAACGTGGATCTTTCTTATCCACAAGTCAGAATAAAGCATGGAATGCAGTGTTTGCAGTTTGCCAGTGTCAGTTTTTCTAGTTAAGTTTGCCTCTCTCACTCCACTCCACACTGCTTTGAAGTATTAATGATAAACCACCTTCTATTTCCTTAGGATACGCGTACACACACACACACACACACACACACACACACACACGAGTCTTTGTTAGAGGCAAAACCTATGTGAATATACTTACACTCCTGAACTGTACACATAAAAATGGTTATGATGGTACATTTTAAATTATGTGTGTGTTTTTTTAACTACAACGTTAAAAAAAAAAGAGTATGTAAGGATTTAAAAGAGAACCCCATAGTTTCACAAAAATTATTTACTGGTCAAATAATTTTTTTATTTAACTGTTTAATCTTATTTAACTGTTTACTTTATAATTTTGTAACTCTACAAAATGGATGATTATTTTGGTTTTAAGAGGCCTGGTTATGACAAAGTTCCTTACACTAAGCTAAATGAGACTCTGTTTTTAGAATTAGGAAATTATAGGAGTTGTTTTATTTATAATTTAGTTTAATTCTCCTGGCATGGTTTTTCTATCAGCTTCTGTCCCTTCAAGTTAACTGGTTTACCAGCTTTGGAAGAGCCTGGGAAGATCACAGGCGTGATGAAACACAGTCTTTCTTTCTGACTCATGTAGAAGAACATTGATGATCCATATTTAAAGCTTACCTAGTATTGACTCAACAAATTTAGAAGGAAAACCAGCCAGTTTTCCTGATCCTTTAACTAACCCACCTGCCCTTCTCGCTGCTAAAAGACTCTCAGCGTATTACCTACCCAGTACAGCTAAGAAATCAATGCTCTTTTTTAAGAGGTCTCAGGAGTTAAGATGCTAATAAGAAAAAACTCCCTGTATTTATGCTTTCATAAAATAAAACTATAGAACTATATATCTGCAAAGGAATAAAAGTCCTCTCTTTCCTGAAGCTGCTTTGTGGGACAAAGTTTTGGTATAGGCTCTTAGTAGCTAAGTCTTAGTTCCCTTTTTTTGAAAGAAACAAAATTGTACTTGCTTGGTATATGGTATTTGCTACACTGGGACACAGTTTAGAGTCAACTGGCCGTAACTCACGTACAATAAAATACAGTATTATAGCAGGGAAAGCAGTAATATGTAATCACAATACTAAGGTTGACATTATTTATTTATATTGTGAAGTAAGTACCCACTTATTAAAACTGTTATTATAAATCATTAAAATGCTCGTAAAGAAAGATAATTAGGAAAAGCCAAATTTTAAATGTTTATTTAAATAGGGAGCCAACTGTTCTTTGGGTGATGTGTGCAAAGCTAGTGAGAGAGGCAGTGTATGAGAGCTTAGGGATTTGAAATGTCACAACATATGGCAGGCCCAGGTGTTCATTATAAGTTACAAACTCTCGTCCTGCTTGGACCATTCGTATGCTTCAGGAGCAGTAAAGGGACTACTCATGGTTTTCATGAATTATCAAGCTAAGATTCATATTAATTTCACTTCAGAGCCAATAATCAATACCACATTTGGCTTGGTTCTTTTTTTTTTTTTTTTTTTTTTTTTTTTTTTGAAACAAGGTCTCACTCTGTCACCAGGCTGAAGCTCATTGGCATGATCACAGCTCACTGCAGCCTCTGCCTCCTCAGGCTCAAGCGATCCTCCCTCAGCCTCCCAAGTAGCTGGGACTACATGTGTGCACCACCATGCCTGGCTAATTTTTGTATTTTTTGTAGAGAGGGGGTTTCACCATGTTCCCAGACTGGTCTTGAACTCCCAGGCTAAAGCAGTCCACCCGCCTCAGTCTCCCAAAGTGCTGGGATTACAGGTGTGAGCCACTGTGCCCGACCTGGCCTGGCTGATCTTAAAAATAAGTTTTGCTATCTTTCTGTGATGAGAATGAAATATGGGTGCATCTCAATGATGTGACTATAATTTAAAAGGATTTAGATGAGAAAAGCAGGCTTTCTGGCATAGTAGGTAAGGCAGCCATAAAGAGGTTAGTAAATTGGATGTACTTAAAGGCTAGAGGAAATCAAATCACAATTGACCCTTGAATAACTCAGGTTTGAGCTGCTCGAATCTACTTATATGTGGCTTTTCTTCCATCATCTGCCACCCCTGAGACAGCAAGACAAACCCCTTCTCTTCCTCCTCCTCCTCGGCTTACTTAACCTGAGGATGACGAGAATGAAGACCTTTATGCTGATTCACTTCTGCTTAATGAATAGTAAATATATTATTTCTCTTCCTTATGATTTTCTCAATAAATTTTTTATTCTCTAGCTTACTTTTTAGTAAGAATACAGTCCCATAATACATATATCATATACCATATGTGTTAATTACTGTTTATCCGTAAGGCTTCCGGTCAACAATAGGCTATTAGTAGTTGAGTTTTTGTGGGGGGTCAGAAGTTGTACCTGAATTTTCGACTGTGCAGGGGTTGGCACCCCAACCCCTGTATTGTTCAAGGGTCAACTGTACATTCTTTTGAAACTGGGTTGCACCAAGTAAAACTAAGTAAATGAAAGACCCTGCCTATACTGTTGAATACTCTCAAATATCTTACTAGCTGCTTGAGCCCAGTACTGACATTTGAAATATAAGCTTCAAAAAGAGTTTTGTTACCTTCTTCAACAAATATTTAGTAAATTAAAATATGTGCAAAAGCAAGGGTGAAACTGGTAGTAAGTAATGTTTCAGCTAGGAAATGATTTCATCTGATAGTTGTTACAGTAATGTTATCCTCAAAAAGTTAACATGTAAAATTACTGAATATCTCCTCAGTGTGAGAGACTGGGCCCTGAAGGAGGTATCAGACAAATCCCTGTCCTCAAGAAGGAAAATTACTGATCATAAAATTTACTAATGCAAGTACTATAAAGCAATATGTGCTTAATTATTGAATAGGAAGATGAAAACCTTTTCTTAAGTGGTGAGAGTTCCGAGGAGAAATTTATCACTCTGGCTGGAGAAGCTGGCGAAAACTTCATGGAAAAGAAAAGGTGTGAGTTGAACCTGGAAGGGTAGATGGGGCTTGGATAGGCCAACAGGCTGATATTCATCACTTAAGAGATAATTGCACATATATTTGGTGCTTGGCACTATGTGAGAATCTGAGAGGATCAAAGAATTGTAATCCATACTCTTAGTAATAGCTCATTATTGACCAGAAGCCTTATGGATAAACAGTAATTAACACATATGGTATATAATGTATGTATTATATACTGTATTCTTACTAAAAAGTAAGCTAGAGAATAAAAAAATTTATTGAGAAAATCATAAGGAAGAGAAATACATTTACTATTCATTAAGCAGAAGTGAATCATCATAAAGGTCTTCATTCTTGCCATCCTCAGGTTGAGTAATACTGTCCTATACATTTACTTTTTTTTTTTTTTTCATGTAACACAGAAAGCGAGTGATTTTAAAAGAGCATATGGGTTCAGATGAGTTCACAATTCAAAAAAGATACTAAAGACTTGGGTGAAAATATAAGGTTCTGCAGAGGAAGAGTTTAAGGTAGGGTGTAAATTCAGTCCCAGGTGTATAGGCTACGGATAGGTTAAGAAATGGAACAAAAAAGAAGATAATGTGCAAGATATTTAAGGTATTTGCAGGGACAGTAAGTGGGAGCCAGTCTGGCTCAGACAGTGTGTCAGAAATAATGTATTAGTCAAAACACTTGGAGTTTCAAGTGATAGAAACTGAAATCAAGCTGGCATATCCGTAAAGGAGATTTTTTAGTTCATATAAAAGCCTAGAAGTTGGTGTGGGGGAATTAGGAAGTATCATTAATCATTCTCCTTTCTTCCAAGTTCACAACTAAATGAGAAATAGTAGAAAAGTTAGAGAAATAGTGAGATATTGGCTGTATTGCTAAGGATAAATTGTTGGGGATATAGCATAATTAGGCTTCTACCTCTCAAGTCTGAGTCTTTCTAATTTGTTTTCTGTATTCTAAATATTTCCTGTATTGACATTTTGGTCACTTGGATAATTAAAACAAATTTTTTCAAGAAGAAGGAAAAGGATCCAACACACCACAATGTGAAAAACAAAAACAAAAACAAAAATTGTGGCCTGATTTCCAAAGTGAGCACCTGCATCTGGGTCCAGTCCACCTTACCACTTGCATTCTTCTTCATAAGTTCAGTGTCAGCCAAGTCAACAGATCAAAAGTAAGCCTATTATTGTACAACATGGTGACTATAATTAATAACAATGTATTATATACTTGAAAATCACTAAGAGAGTAGATTTTAACTCTTCTCAGCACACACAAAAATATGTAAGGTAAAGCATGTGTTAATTAGCTCAATTTAGCCATCCCACAATGTATAACATATTCCAAAACATCATGGTGTATACCATAAATATATACAGTTTTTATTTTTTCATTAAAATAATTAATGAAACATGAAAGATAATATTTTGGAACACAAATATATAAGCCTTGTATATTTTCCCATCACCACATCCTCACTTATGCCATTCTGTAGCACTTATTCTATTTGTTTACTGTTTACTTTCTATCACTCTTTCACTTAAGTGTATGTTGTCTTATTCATTATTGTATCCCAGTGCCTTGGTAAGCAGTAGGAACTTATTGATGTACAAATATTGAGTAAAAGCATGAGTGAATGGATATCCTGTTCTCACACAGGGCTCAGTTTATTGCAGTCTTCCTGCAACCTTCCCTGATGTCCCAAGCAGATCTTATTAGGATTTCTCATCCTTAATGCCTTTCATCTATTGGAATCATGCTCCTGAGAGATATAATTCACCATGATGTCCAGTATGGTAGCCACGAGCCACATGTGTATATTTAAGTTTTAATTAAAATTAAATAAAATGAAAATTTCAGTTTCTCAGTCATAAAAGCCACAAGTCAAAAGCTCAAAACGAGCTTACGTGGCTCATGACTACCATATTGGACAGCTCAGGACTGGATAGTTGACCCAGAAGATGTAATAAAGACTCAAACTTGGTTAGTGAAATAAAAAGTAAAAAGGAATGAGTTTCTAAGAAAGGTACATTGTTGATATCCTCTTAGGATCTTCTGTAGGTCTTGAGCTTCTTTTGTTTAGATCTGGAGATTTACTACAGATGCTGTTCTTGAACTAATTTGTGGTCCTGGAAGGGGAATATTCTAATGCCTTGGGAATCTCACAAGATCAGAGCTTCAGTGTAACTAGTATTTAACCTATCAGAGCTAGGCCAACTGAGAGGAAGGGGTTTTTAAAGCAGATCCCAGCATTATCTTTTTATTTTCTGAGATGTGTCCATGGCTAGATGTTGGGGGAGTCTTGCTTCTCTACCCTCCCTCTACTGCCCACAGCCACCGCCACCCCCACCTGCCTGGCTGGAGGTTCTGACATGGCTTCTAGAGCTGCTGTAACTCTGGGGAACAGAGCCAAACATGCGGAAGTGGTTACGTGTACTAGCTCCCAGGGAAGCCGTGGCTAGCAGGGGGAGTGGGTGGGGTCCTGCCTGATGGCTTTTCAGAGACGCCAAATCTTTGAAGTTTTGTTTTAGCAGCTGCCAGGTATGCTGTTTCAGCACTTTGCAGACTCTCCCTGTGTTCCCATATCACATTTTTTCTTTACTGTGTGTGCATAGTATACACAATGGAGCTTGGCTGTTGGGAGGGCAAATATAAAATTGTGGAGTAAGGAACTAAACACAACCCTTTTGGCTTTTGGCTTTTGCTTTTTACTATGACTCTGATATGAAATAGCCACTTTAATGCCCTGTTTTCAGCTCTGTCCGTTTCTGATCACTTGCCAACGGAGGGGTAGAGTCCTCTTCTGTTTTGGGAACATAGTACAGTTTGAAAAACTGGAGGTCCTACATTTCTGTGATAGATTGGGGTGTCACTCTTGAGGCTAGAACTTCTCCCTTTTTACGAAAGAACAGATGACACACACCCCCACCCCCACAGCAAGTAACCCGGATACTGCTGGTCTCAGAGTAAACTTCTTGCTCACCATTGGCTCCTTGGCATTGAGCACAATGTCAACAATAAATATTTGTTAAATGATTGCACTTGCAGCTGCTATGCTGGAGGAGAAGGGCTGGGGAGGTAGAATACACCTTTAAGGCCCAGCCTCTGTGCTTTCCCTGCCTTCTTAGTAATCCCTTTCTCCTATCCAGTCTACAGTCACCTGAAGCCTTTCCCAATTGCCCCCAAATTTGCTGCTTCCTCTGAACTCCACTCTCGGAGTTTAGTGTATGTTCTTTTGTGTAGTTAACTGTCTTTTCTTTCTTTCCTGAGATGTAAGCTACATTTTATTTCTGGACCAGGAATGGGAAGACCTAGGTGCCAGCCACAGGTCCACCTGACTTGGGGCAAATCATTTGACAAAACCAAAGCCTAATTTTGCTATGTGGAAAGTGATGCCTGGATTGTCATGGGAATTCGATGAGATCCCATATGTGAACGTGCTTTGTAAACTGTAAAGTATTACACATGATTGGGTCTTTTCAGTACTAATAACACTCATCACTATAAAATAGTAATGTTTGTTTCTGCTGCCGATGTACAAAGACTAATCTCTCCCAGAATTGAGGTAAATCACCAGTTTAGTCTCACGTTACTCAGTTAGTTTGGCACAGGTTTAAAGCATTAAACGGTCCATTCCAGGCACTGTCTGTCATCGCTTCTCTTTCAGTCTGCAAGCTCCTCCTTTTGGAGCTGTGGGGTGGTTGTTTTCTTAAGTCTCCCTTCTTCTCCTATCAGGCCCAGGCTGAGCTCTCTCTTTTAACCACCTCTGTTCTTAGGGCAGCAGGCTTGTCCATCCAGTTCCCAGTTTCAGCGGGAATTGCTGTACTGGTGGGCCAGTCTCCTCAGCGTGGCCACCTGCCTCCCGCAGCTCTGCCCATCAGGAACACCAGGTGCCTTCATCATTCTCCTCAGCCAAGCCCCATGCCCTTATCAGCACCTCTCAGCCTCACTTCCTGCGTTCCTCTCCCTGTGCTTATTTTTCTGCCAGGCCATCCCCTAGCCTCCTCCCTCTTTCATATCATTTCATCCTGCATTTTCTTTCGTTCTCTGAGTTCTG
Source organism: Homo sapiens (assembly GCF_000001405.40). NCBI lineage: Eukaryota > Metazoa > Chordata > Mammalia > Primates > Hominidae > Homo > Homo sapiens. Next base: position 75,833,237 of record NC_000014.9, read on the forward strand.
ACCTTTCATCCAGAAAGGCTGTTTCATATTTCAAGACTCTGCTGTTCGGTACATCTTCACCCTCCTGTCACCCAGTCCCCAGCATCTGAAGGCAGCTCCTTCTCAGAGAAGAATAGGATAAATAAGTGCTGCCACATTTTGGGACTATCATATGGCCTGAGAAGCTCCCAATTTTTTTTATTTTAAAATATCGAAGATCTTCCATGTAAGTGTTATGACCTAATGTTTGAAAGCATGTAGTTAAGAGGCAGACCAATTTGGATTCCTTCTTTTTTTAGCCACTCACTAGCTATTTTGCCTAGGGCAAGTTCTTTGAACTTAATATTCTTATCTCTAAAATAGAGAATAAATGCCTACTTCCTAGGGATGTTCTCAGGAGCAAATGAAAACTAAATGGCATAAGAAAAGCACTTTTACTATATATAATGCCTGCCATAGAGTACGTGCCCAGTAAGTGGGAATCCATGTAAACATTTCTATGTCATCTACCCTTACCCATACCCATACATTAGAAATGTTAAAAATGGAGACCCAGAGAAATGAAGTAGAGTGTGCAAATTCTCATGCTTACCTAGTGATAAAGTAAGGAGTGGAATCCAGGGCTTCTAGTTCTCTGCCTGATAAATTTTCCATTTGATCTCTCTGACTCCTCAAAGGGTTATTTGTTTGAGTTTCCTTTCTTTAGGTGAAGTATGCTATTATCCCAGATAGAGGCATGTTCATTTATTCATTCATTTTTCATTCAACAGACATTACATGACCAAAATGTTACCAGGCTCTGAGTGTACAAAGACCAGTAATGATGAACTCACTGTCTCAATGGTTAGTCCAGTAGGGAAGAAATCATCACTGTGAAGAATAAGTCACAGTACAAAAAACATGCTAGTAAAAGGCATGTGGGGCCTAGAGGAACAAGCTAAATCAGAGGAAAACCAGGATTGATTTTGCAGAGAGTGAATTATTGGTTTTTTACTAGATGAAAATGGCGGAGATTTGTGCAAAGGCAGGGAGGTATGGAAGAGCATACCTGAAGTGCAGTGTTGTGGGAGCATCACATTCAAGTAGGGGAGTATGTGGTTGAGGATAAAGTGGGAAAGTTGAAAAGTTAAAGTGCTTGGTATGCCATGTTAAAGGGATTTTATCCCATTGTCAGCCCTTTTAATCAGTGTGAAATGAAGAAATCAAGGGAGTTTTTAAAAAACATTTCTGCATCTTTATACCTATGTTTTCATGTTTTCACTGTCTTTCCCCTTCCCTTTCCCATTCTTATTTGGCAAACACTTTTTACCATTGTGGATCTAGCCCAGTTCTACCCCTTACTCTGTATATTTTTTACTCCCTGCCATCCCAGGCAGTCTAAATACATACCTATGCCCAAAATTCACAGACCGGACTTCTACCTGGGCAGTTCTTTAGCCTACTACAAGAAGTCACACACCATCATTTAAAAAGAACTTTTTTATTCTGTAGATGGATTAGGTCAGGACTTTTTCCTTTAACAAGAACCACAATTCAGCATGCTTACCATCATTAGAACTTGCGCTTTGGGCTGGGCACAGTGGCTCACACCTGTAATCCCAGCACTTAAGGAAGCTGAGGCAGGAGAATCACTTGAGCCCAGGAGTTTGAGACCAGCCTGGGCAGTATAGTGAGACCCTCATCTCTACAAAAAATTTCAAATATTAGCCGGGCATGGTAGCATGTGCCTGTAGTTCCAGCTACTCAGGAGGCTGAGGTGGGAGGATTGCTTGAGCCCAGGAGGTTGAGGCTGCAGTGAATCATGATTGTGTCACTTAACTCCAACCTGGGCAACAGAGTGAGACCCTGTCTCCAAACAAACAAACAAACAAACAAACAAAACAATTTGAGCTTTGACTTCCTCTAGTAAGGTACCCTAGCACTCAGCTGGCCAAAAACCTGCTATGGCAGCAGTTGTCATTCTTCATGTCTTTGCAACACACTTCCACATACAAGAACTTTGATCAACACAGTTGAAGGGATCAAAAGATGCAAGACAATACTCAACCCAGTAAATTTCACCTGGTGGAATCAATATTAAAGTAGAGCATTGTCTCCCAGTGTCCATTAGGTGTCTATAGTTATACTCCTCATTCAGTCATCCTTCAGGACCATGTGGCTGTTTTGAGTATTGCTATTTATTTATTGCCCTCATTAGACTCTAATATACTCACAGGACAAAGTTTCTTCAGACTGTAGTAAACACACAATCTCTATTTGTCACCAGGTTGATGTTATGCTTCTCTTCTTGTGTATTGCAAATGGACTCTGCTCTATACCATGTGACAGGAGCCAACCAGCTCAACATTTCATCTGACAAAGAGAACCATTATGTTGTATTAAAATATGTAGTTAAACCCACAGAAGGGAGAAAATATTTGCAAACTAACCATCTGATAAGAGATTAATAATCAGAATATGTAAGGAATTCAAACAACTCTGTAGGAAAAAAACTAATAATCCAATTAAAAATAGGCAGAAGACCTGAACAGACATTTGTCAAAAGAAGGCATATAAATGGCAAACAAGTATATGAAAAATACTCAGCATCATTGATCATCAGAGAAATGCAAATCAAAACTTCAGTGAGATACCATCTCACCCCAGTTAAAATGGCTTATATCCAAAAGACAAGTAATGATGCTGGCGAGGATGTGGAGCATAGTGAAGGCTCCTACACTGCTAGTTGGAATGTAATTAGTACTACCACTATGGAGAACAGTTTGGAGATTCCTCAAAAAACTAAAAATAGAGCTACCATACAACCCAGCAGTCCCACTCCTAGGTATCTGCCCAGAAGAAGGGAAAGCAGTATATTGAAGAGATATGTGCACTCCTGTGTTTGTTGCTGCACTGTTCACAATAGCTAAGATTTGGAAGCAACCTAAGTATTCATCATCAGATGAGTAGATGAAGAAAATGTGATACATACACATAGTAGAGTACTGTTCAGTCACAAAAGGAATGAGATCCTGTCATTTGCAACAACATGATGGAACTGGAGGTCATTATGTTAAGTGAGATAAGCCAGGCACAGAAAGACAAATTTTGCATGTTCTCACTTACTTGTGGGAGCCAAAAATCAAAATAATTGAACTTGTGGAGATAAAGAGTAGAATGCTGGTTACCAGAGATTGGGAAGGGTAATGGGGGTTAGGGGTGACAGGGGGAAGTGGGGATGGTTAATGGATACAAAAAAAAAATAGAATGAGTAAGACCTAGTATTTGCTAGCATACCAAGGTGACTGTAGTCAAAAATAATTTAATTATACATTTTTAAGTAACTAAAAGAGTGTAATTGGACTGTATGTAACACAAAGGATAAATGCTTGGGGTGATGGATAGATACTGCATTTACCCTGATGTGATTATTACACATTGCATGCCTTTATCAAAATATCTCATATAACCCATAAGTATATACACCTGCTATGTATGCAAAAAAATGAAAAATAAAAATAAAATATATGTAATCAAATATATTATACATACTGATCAAACTTTACACACCTGTGAAGTTTTCTCAACACAGAAAAGTTGAAGCCTCTTTCCCAAGACTTTAATGAAGAGATGTGTTGTAATCCAGTGATAGACCATCATGAAAATATGCCCTAAATTGTGCTGTGTTAGGAGAGCAGGCCACTATGACATGATAATGCTTTAAAGCTGATTTTTTTCTTTTTAAAATTTATCAATGTGATTGCATTGGTTACCTATTGCAACAAAACAAATTACTGTAACATTTAGTGGCTTAAAATAATAAACATTTATTATTTCAGCCTCTGTAGGTTTCTGTAAGAATTGAGGAGCAGCTTAGCTGGGTGTTTCTGGCTCAAATTCTCTTATAACATTGCAGTTAAGGTGTCAGCCAAGAGGGTTGCAGTTATCTGAAGGCTTACCTGGGGCTAGAGGATCCACTTCCATGATGTTTCACTCTCATATGCGTAATGAGTTCATGCTGGCTGTCGACAGGAGGCCTCAGTTTCTCACTACATGGACTTTTCCACATGGACTTCTCCACTGGCTGCTTACATGACCTCATGACATGGCAACTGACTTCCCTCAGAATGAGTAATTCAACAGAGAGTAGGGTAGAAGCCACAATGTCTTTTATGACCTAGCCTTGGAAATCACATATCATCATTTAAAAAATTATTATTTTAAAAATTGTGGTAAAACACAATATAAAGTTTACCATCTTAACCATTTTTAACCATTTGAACTGTACACAGTTCAATAGCATTAAGTACATTCACATTGTGCAATCATCACCACCATCCATCTCCATAATTCTTTTCATCTTGATAAACTGAAACTCTATACTCATTAAGCAATAACTCTACATTCTTCCCTCCCCCCAACGCCTGGACACTACTGTGGTATTTTCTATCTATATGATTTTGACTACTCTAGGTATCTCTATTAGTAGAATCATAGAGTACTTATCTTTTTGTGACTGGCTTATTTCACTTAGCATAATATCCTCAGGGTTTATCTATGTTATAATGTGTCAGAATTTCCTTCCTTTTACAGGCTGAATAATATAAAATATTTCATTAAACATATATATATGTGTATATCTAGATATATGTGTGTGTGTATGGGAGTGTGTGTGTGTATATATGTATACACACCCATACACACACACTACATTTTGTTTACTCATTCATCTTGATAGACACTTGGTTTACTTCTGCTTTTTGGCTATTGTGAATAAACTGCTACAAACATGAGTGTACAAATATCTTTTCACCTCCCTGTTTTCAGTTCCTTTGGTTTATGCCCAGAAGTTAAATTGCTGGATAGTATGTTAATTGTGTTTTTTTAAATTAATTATTCACTTTATTTTTCCTATATAAAAGCACTACATGGTAGCCAGAGTTGGAGCCTGCATCCTTTGCACAGAGGCTCTGGTGCAGGTCTTTACTAGATGGCCAGTGAATTCCCAATTAGGTGATTTGGTAAACACAATCTTTCCAGAAGTAAGAGGTCAGATAGCTAAAGATCTTGGAGGTGGCGGCTGGGCGTGGTGGCTCACACCTGTAATCCCAGCACTTTGGGAGGCCAAGGTGGGTGGATCATGAGGTCAGGAGATCGAGACCATCCTGGCTAACACAGTGAAACTCCATCTCTACTAAAAATAGAAAAAAAAAAAAAATTAGCTGTGTGTGGTGGTGGACACCTGTAGTCCCAGCTACTCGGGAGGCTGAGGCAGGAGAATGACGTGAACCCTGGAGGCGGAGCTTGCAGTGAGCCGAGATCGTGCCACTGCACTCCATCCTGGGTGATGGAGCGAGACTCCGTCTCAAAAAAAAAAAAACAAAAAGATCTTGGAGGTGGCATCAAAGGTAGTCTTGGCACAGTTGCTCAGAGGGTGGTGCAACCCCTGGCTAAGGTGTAGCAGTCATGAGTACCAGGTATAAGCAGCAGCTTTTTGAGTGCAGGACCTAAGATGTTGACAGTGCCTTTGGGGGCGAGGGTGAGGCACATCAGCACAGAGCCGCAGCAGCCAGTCACTTGCAGTGCAGAGTGTGGAGCTTGCTGATCTTGTTCCATTGGATCCTTGCTGCATGGGGATGATGGAGAGCAGGGTGATAACCCCACAGATGCTACTGTCCGCCTCCTTGGAGCAATTATCCAGACTGATGTAGCCATTGTAGTCCCTTATGGTAACAAATGCCTTGAACCTGGTCCACTGGCCAGTGTGGGTCTGCTTTTGCCACAAGTATAGTCTTCAAAACCTCACCTGTGAGAGGGTGTCCCCAGAAATGTCGATGATCTCAGATTCCTTGATGGGCAGGGAGAAGAGAGAGATCTGCTCCAGGGACTTGATTTTCATGTTCTTGTCCAGGCAGCCCAGCATGCGGATGGTGACACACTCCTTGTACTTGGTCTTGCTTCTGTGAGCTCTGTGGTGTGGGCCCTGAGCACACCTGCGGTCTAGACCCTCCCATAGCGCTGGTGTCATCTGCCATTTGAGATTTTGTCTTGGAGAAGAAGAGTAATTCTATTTTTAAGTTTTCGAGGAACCATCATACTGTTTTCCATAGCTGCAGCACCACTTCACATTCCCACCAGCAGTGCACAAGGGTTCCAATTTTGCCACATCCTCAAAACTTATTTTCTGTCTTTTTGATAGTAGCCATCTGTATTAGTTTGTTCTCATGCTGCTATGGAGAAGTACCCGAGACTGGGTGATTTATAAAGAAAAAAGGTTTCATTGACTCACAGTTTCACATGGCTGGGGAGGCTTCAGGAAACTTACAATCATGACAGAAGGCACCTCTTCACAGGGCGGCAGGAGAGAGAATGAGTGCCAGCAGGGGAAATGCCAGATGCTTACAAAACCATCAGATCTCGTGAGAACTCACTATGATGTGAACAGCACGGGGGAAACCGTGCCCATTATTCAATTACCTCCCACCGGTCCCTCTCACAACACATGGGGATTATGGGGATTATAATTCAAGATGAGATTTGGGGAGGGGCACAACCAAATCATATCACCATCCTAACGGGTGTGATCTCACTGTAGTTTTGATATGCATTTCCCTAATGATTAGGAATGTTGAGCATGTTTTTGATGCTTATTGGCTATTTGTGTATCTTCTTTGGAGAAATCTCTGTTTAAGTTTTTTGGCAATTTATTAATCAGGTTGTTTTTGTTATTGTTGAGCTTTAGGAGTTCTCTATATATCCTGGCTATTAAACCCTCAACAGATATATGATTTGTCAATATTTTCTCCCATTCCATTGAATACCCTTTTACCCTGTTGACAATGTAACCCTTGATCCACAAAAGTTTTTAAGTTTGATGAAGTCTAATTTGTCTATTTTGTTGTTGTTGTTGCCTGTGCCTTTGGTGTCACATCCAAGAAATCATTGCCAAATCCAGTGTCATACAGCTTTTGCCACATGTGTTCTAAGAGTTGTAATAGTTATAGCTTTTATGCTTGTGTCTTTCAGACACAGTCATTTTTTATATATGTATACTTCAAGTTCTGGGATACATATGCAGAACGTGCAGGTTTGTTATGTAGGTATACATGTGCCATGGTGGTTTGCTGCACCTATCAACCTGTCATCTAGGTTTTAAGCCTTGCATGCATTAGGTATTACTCCTAATGCTCTCCCTCCCCTTGCCCCCCACCCCCTGACAGGCCCCGGTGTGTGATGTTCCCCTCCCTGTGTTCTCATTGTTCACCTCCCACTTAGGAGTGAGAACATGCGGTGTTTGGCTTTCTGTTCCTCAGACACAGTCATTTTTTCAGCATTCTGTTGGTTTATACAGGCCAGCCCTATTCAGTGTGGGAGGGAACTACGCAAGGATGTTAGGAATACTAGGAGGTATGGGGATCGTTGGGGGCCATCTCAAAGGCTGGTTCCCACAATAATTCAGAACTATAGTTTTAAAAGTTAAGGCATTCTATAGGGTTTATAATGAAAATGGGAATCCCTTGCCTTTTCTCTTCCCACTGCTACCCAACCTTAATTTCCATGCCCTAGAAATAATTGCTTTCAACTTTCTTGTAACTGCTTTTTCTGTTATTTACCTTCTGTGTTAATTCATTCTTGCATTGCTATAAAGAAATACCTGAGGCTGGGTAATTTATGAAGAAAAAAGGTTTTATTGGCTCACAGTTCTGTAGGCTATACAGGAAGTGTGGTGCCAGTATTTGCTTCTGGTAGGGGCCTCAGAAGCTTCCAATCATGGCAGAAGGTGAAGGGGAGCAGGTATGTCACATGGCAAGAGCAGGGGCAAGAAACGGGAGATCCCAGACTCTTAAAACAACCAGATTTCGTGTGAACGAACTGAGCAAGCGCTCACTCATCACCAAGGGGATGGTGCTAAGCCATGCCTGAGGGATCCACCCCCATCATCCAATCACCTCCCACCAGGCCCCACCACCAGCATTGGGAATCACATTTCAACATGAGATTTGGAGGGGACAAACAGCCAAACCGTATCACCTTCATAGTTCTAAATCATGTTTATTCTGCCATTTTTGGATTTTAGGTTTAGATATTATCTATTAACTTTCTGTCAGAAAAAGATTTTGCACTCTTACTCTACACCCTTCACACCCACACAAACACACATACCCACAGCATTCTTTCCTTCCTTCCATCCTTGCAGTATACTTAGAATACAGTTTTTGGTTAGATTCGTATTCACTGGTTTCATTACCATGACTGTGACTGGGAACTTTTGGGCCTCTTAGAGTCATTATTTCTTCTTTCCTATTTATTCCTTTCTTTGTCATCTGGTCTGACTTTCTGGGTGATTCCCTTGATAATTTTCCATATGATCTACTTCCCTAAGTCTGACTTAGTACATGTTGTGAAGTTAAGAAAGGTTCTAATTTTTAAATTTCTTCCAGTTCAGGACAGTTTACATGGGGCTGTAAATCGGGGGATTGGGAAGGGATCTACATATTTACTTTTTTTTATTTTCTGTAGACTGAAATATCTATGTCCATACTTAAAAAAAATAGTTGTACAAGTGGTACACACATGTAGCCACATGTTACAGTAGTCTAAAAAATACACATATGGAAAGATTAGGTGGCAAATAAAATCTTCTCAGAGGTAGCTATACTTAAAAGGTTGGTTTGTATATTTTTTCATGTATTTTTCTGTGATGTTTTTCTATCCTAATATGTCTCCATGTTTTTCAGTCTGTTCATATAAACTGACTTAAATATTTTTAACCACTATGTCGTTTTTGAAAGTATGAATGTGCCATAATTTGTTTTTCCATCCTTCTATTAAGAAGCACTAAGCCGTATCCTGATGAGGCATCTGTAGGGAACTCCTTATACGTAGATCTTTGTGCATGTGTGTATTTCTGTAGGATAAACTCCTAGAAGTGGAATTGTTGGATCAAATGTCCACTTTGAATTTTTATAGATGCTGTCAAATTGGCATCCAAAAAGCCTATCCCAGTATATCCTCCAATCTGGAGTACAGAAACATGCCCTTTTTCCACACCCTTGCCAGCATTACATACCATTGACCTTTCTGTCTATTCCTCTGGACTGTCGCTCTCCCACTTTTACTGATGATGAAATGAGGAGTGGACCCTATCTTCAGATATATTACTTCAAGGGTGTTTTGTTTGGGGCAGGAGTACAACTGAGAGGAGGCCGAGAAGCAGGAGGGTAAAGGGTTCTCCGTGGGCTCTTTATTTTCTTAATGTTCCTTAAGACTAGAAGGAATCCCTGTGAGTCAAGTTCATCTTCCCTCCACGCTGCTTAGGTCTTTTCTCTCCTGGTTTTGTTTTTGATTGATTTTACCCAGGGAGCCTGATCCTCTCCCCTTCCTAAGTAATGAATAACCAGAAAAAGTTATAGAACCCAGCAAACTGAATGAAAAAAGCTTAAGGAAAATATTAAAAAGGAAGAAAAGTGTTTGATGTACTTTTAATGTAAAATGTGGAAAAAGTAGAAAATGGGTGGGGGTTGGGGAAAGGAGGGAGGAAAGAGATTATTCACGGTAATGGGAACCAAATGTTGGCTAGGAAAGCTGCAGTATTCTCACACTCTTCCTGTAAACCCAGCGGCTTTTCAAAGTGATAATAATCAAGGGCTGACAGCACAGGACACGCCTTAACCCTTCCATACCTGGACACTTCCTTTGAGTCAGCCTCAAAGGTGGTGTCCACTTTGAAGAAATCCTGGTATATTTCAGTGCCCTTTTTGCCTCCATAGCAAAAAGAAGAAAGGTGGAGGCAAGTTTTGAACAGCAAAGCACCTGCTTGCTAAAACTCCTTTCAGTATGCCCAAATTTCTTTTCTGTGGACAGAGAGCAGCCTGCCTGACCAGTCCAGGATATTTTCTCCCCTTGCTGTCCTGAGAGGAACTTGAAAGGAGTTGAGAACCTCCTTGTGACAGATAGGATTCTCTTTCCATCAGTAATAATCGCGTTTACTTGAAAACCCTCTAGTCTGAAGCCCTCCTAGATGCCAGTGTGGAAGTGCATGCACTTATTTGGAGGCTTAGACCTTTGTTTCTCTTGGAAGTCCACTCTTCCCACTGTGGAACTGAGATGTAAATATACTGTTCAGAGCTGAAGGGCTCCCTGAGCTTATGACTTCCAGCTGGTCAAGAACAGTCATATGCCTCTTGGCCTAACCATTCATCCAAGGAGGGAGAAGGAAAGGGGGTTACTAAATGAAGTTCCTGGTTCAGCTGGATCTTCACATCCATCTAGATTTAAACTTTGTTGAGACACCTTTAAAAGTTCATCTTACACAAGAAGGAAATGAAATCTTATTTTTTGTTGTCAACTATTTCCCATTTCAGAGGAGCAGCCACCACATGTAGGGCAATGGTAGCAATAAGGCAGGTAGCACTGCAGAGCAGATGAGTGCTCAGATTCTGCAGTTAGCTATGCCTCGGTTGCCTCATCTGTAACATGAGGCAAGGTTAAAGTGAGATAAAGCACAGAAACATTTAGCGCAGTGCCTGGCACCTCCTCTTCTTTTTCTCATCATTGTCCTCATGTGGCATACAACTGAAATGGAAGCATCTCCTTTGTTTGAAATGTTTTTAGAAGTCATCTTTGGGATGATTTTATAGTTTCTCATTTTATATTTATTTTATTTTGTTTTGTTTTGTTTTGTTTTATTTTATTTTATTTTATTTTATTTTATTTTGAGATGGAGCCTCGTTCTGTCACCCAGGCTGGAGTGCAGTGGCATGATCTCGGCTCACTGCAACCACACCTCCCAAGTTCAGGAGATTCTCCTGCCTCAGCCTCCCGAGTAGCTGGGTCTACCACTACTCCCGGCTAATTTTTGTATTTTTAGTAGAGATGGGGTTTCACCATATTGGCCAGGCCGGTCTCGAACTCCTGACCTCATGATCCGCCCGCCTCAGCCTCCCAAAGTGCTGGGATTACAGACGTGAGCCGCCTGGCCTGGCTCATTTTATATTTAAATCTGTGATCTAATCTGAGTTAATTTTTGTATGAGGTATGAGATTTTGGTTGAGGTTCCTTCTTTGCCTATGTATGTTCAATTGCTCCAACTTCATTTGTTAATACACAAATGGTTTAGAAAGGTTATTGTTCCTCCATTGTATTGGTTTTGCAACTTTGTCAGAAATCAGTTGAGCATATTTGTGTGGATCTTTGGATGACTTTAGTATTTCTAAAACAAAGGTCTGTAGCAATAATTGTTAGAAAATCTTTAGCAGGGGCTATTTTAAGTTATGATTTTCTGTTTCTCATTATAATTGTGGAGACATCAAGACTTAGGTTCAAAAGCAGCTCTTTCCTTTATTCTGTATGTCCTTAGGCCTTAACCTAACCCTCAGTTTTCTCATGTGTAAGATGGGATAATACCTGTCTCAACAGGTTGCTATGAAGGCTAACAAAGATAAGGCATATAAAGAGCTCAGTTGGGAGTCTGGCATTTAGAAAGCCCTCACACTAATGATGGTAGTGGTGGTGAGACTTGGCTGTCCTCATTCTTGGTCACTCTAAGCCACACTCACTCATGCCCTTTCCATTACCCAAACCTAATTTTTTTTTAGCCTTTTCATTGCAGCTTCATCATAAGTGCATGAATGATTCCAGTTAAAGCTGTTGTGCAGTGCTTTGCCTAAATGGAAGTTTTGACCAGTAACATTTCTATTTCTGAATATGTGAGAGATCTGCATCTTACCAGCTTTCATTACAGCATCTCTCCACCCTCCACACTCCTGCCATTTAGCCACATTGGCTTTCCTATTGTTCCCTGTTCTTTTACATAGTATTCCTAATGCCCGGAATGTCCTTTCCAGTTGGCAAGTTACTGGTCATCTTTTGAGATGCAGATAAAATGTCATTTCTACATGGAAGGCTTCCTTGATTTTTCTCCATAGCCAGTTGTTCCCTTCTCTTGTTTTCTAAAGCTAGTGTCCTGTTCCCAGCACAGTGGCATACAGAGTTGGAGGAGTAGCAGGAGTTTTTTTTCTTAATTTAAAAAAGTGTACACCTATTTTTAAACTACATAAATATATCCATTATGTGTTGACATTAATACTAAATGATAAAGATGAATAGTATGATCACAATGTACTGGTCAAGACTGGAATGAGACATACCGAAGGACTCCCCGTGGCTGTAGAATGGCCCTAGGGGTGACTTTTTTCCTTCTTCTTTGCACTTTTTAGTACTTACACATTTTGGTAGTCAGCATGTTTTTAATTTTTAAATTAATTTTTATATTGTTTGAAATGCCCTACAACTTGATATTAGTTCAGAAGTATTTCTCCCTTATTTTGAAATAAGAATCTGTGCTGTAAGTTGTGAAAGAGAGGAACAGGAGAAGGAAAAGGGAGCTTAACCACATTTACTGAGCGCCTGGTTTATGCCAGATCCTGTGCTTTGTATGATTTGTGCTGAACACAGGGTTGTAATGTGGGTATTGTTATCCTCGTGTGTAAATGATGAAATTGTCTTAGAGGTGATACCATTTGTCCATGGTCACACCTGAGGTAACTGATGGCCCAAGAATTTGAGTCCAGGTCTTTCTGATGTGAAAGCTCATGTTCTTTCCTCTACTTTAACTTTCCTAGTTTTAGAGGGAGGAAAATCAGTACCAGTCTTTACACAATGGCGTCCCAGACCAGCCTAGACCTGTTTTTTTGGTGATAGCGTACAAAGGACAGATGGAAATATTTCTGAAAAGAAACTATCACTGGTGGATTATAAGAATCTTTCTGTGAACAAAAATGAAAAAAAATTAGGGGCTGGTGCGATAGAGTTCAGCATTACAAATATCTTTACCCTAGTCTATGCATTTGTATAGTGTTTTACTTTTGTCAAATGCCAATTCCATAGAGAAGCTTTGAGTGTGGGCAGAAAACATCAGTAGCCTGAAGAGGCTAACTATCAATATATGACTTGTATAATATTTACAATTTAGACTAAATTTTGTCTTGCTTTGTATGCTGACTCTCCTGAATAGAACTTATTTTTTTAAATAGATATAAACCAGCAGGTCAGGCAAGTAAGAATGGTTGTTTTAGTTGGTGGGGAATTACATAAGGGAAATCTTGTGACTCTAGGGGATAGAAATTGTGGATTTTTTGGTCCTGATGAATTTTTACAATGGCCTAATCACACAGGTGTTGGTCAATCAACACTTCTTGTAAATGTGATCTGTCATTTTAGCTATGGTTTAAAAAGCATATGGTTTAATAGTTACAGTATTTTAGAAGCGAACCATGATATCATGATAAGATGTAAAGAATTAAAAGAGATACTGGCCGGGTGTGGTGGCTCATGCCTGTAATCCTAGCACTTTGGGAGGCCGAGGCGGGCGGATCACCTGAGATCGGGAGTTCGAGACCAGCCTGTCCAACATGGAGAAACCCTGTCTCTACTAAAAATACAAAATCAGCCAGGCATGGTGGCGCGTGCCCGTAATCCCAGCTACAAGGGAGGCTGAGGCAGGAGAATCACTTGAACCTGGGAGGCGGAGGTTGCGGTGAGCCGAGATTGCACCATTGCACTCCAGCCTGGGCAACAAGAGTGAAACTCCATCTCAGAAAAAAAAAAAAAAAAAAAAGAATTACAAGAGATAATGAAAGAGTTCCCTGTTGGCCTCCAGGCCATTTATGGACTCGAAGTGTGAGGAATTAGTCCATAAGGCAGACATAGAGATGAATCATGCATTTCTTCCTTGGCAAGTGTAATGTCTGAATTTAGAGCTTTAGAGGCAAAGAATTACATTGGATTAAGTTCCTAAAATACAAGTTCTATATTTCTTTTTTTTGAGAGGGGGTCTTGCTCTGTCGCCCAGGCTGCAGTATAGTGGCACAATCTCAGCTCACTGCAACCTCTGCTTCCCGGGTTCAATTGATTCTCCTGCCTCAACCTCCCAAGTAGCTGGGATTATAGGTGCCCACCACCACACCTGGCTAATTTTTGTGTTTTTTAGTAGAGATGGGATTTCACCATGTTGGCCAGTCTGGTCTCAAACTCCTGACCTCAGGTGATCCACCCACCTCGGCCTTCCAAAGTTCTGGGATTACAGGCGTGAGCCACCGCATCTGGCTGTATTTCTTTTTTTTATCACATTAATACCAAAGCTGATTAGCTTCTTTATACCAAGAGGGTCCAGTTTGCCATAGAGGAATATGGACTTTCTCTTGGTTTGTGAGAAATTTGGATTATGTCTCACTGAACCTCAAAAACTAGATCATAAATAAGAAATAATAGTAACAATAATAATTAAATGCTTTATGTACCTTAACTTATGTACCTTAATTCATTTAATAATTAATGTTTACTATGTATACAACTGTTCTGAAAGCTTTATATGTATTAATGATTCAGTGCTCACAGCTGCTCTATCAGGTAAGTACTGTTATCATCCCCATTTTACAGATGAAGAAACTAAGCACAGAGAAATGAAATCACTTGCCCAAGATAACACAGTTGATGAAAGGCAGTCAGGATCCAAGCCCAAGCAATATGGTGGCAGAATTCGTGCTCTTAACCACTCTGCCAGTGATTCTTTGTGTGTGTCACAATCACCTGACAGGCTTGTTAACACACAGATTGCTGGGCCCAACCACAGAGTTTCTAATTCCAGTAGGCCTGGAGTGAGGCTCCATTATTTTCATTTTTAACAAGTTTCAAAATGTGGCTGCTGCTGTTGCTGGTGGTCCGGTAAGAGAAAGGCTTAATTATAAGTATACATTTTCTTTTCTTCCCTTTGGTGCTGTTTTTTTTTTTAATCTCTTGTGATTTCTCTGGTATTTTCCCCATTTTATAAAAATATCTTTATAAAGAAAGAAAAAGTACAGGTGGAGAAGGTTTAAAAAAAAGGTGGAGTTTTGGAGTTGTCTCCTATTTCCCTTGGCCAACTGAAGGAAGGGGGCAGAGGCAGGTTACTGGAGCCAGAAAAACTGTAGGCCTCACTGTTCCAAGTTGCCTGATATTTTGCTTCCTGGGGAAAAGAGAAGTGAAGGGAGCCTAACTGATGTGATGGGGCAGGAATTCTAAATTTGTGACACTTTGCAAGCTGTTTATGTGCACTAGGTTTGAACCCAGCTACAATTCAATGTAGAAGTTCTTGGAAACTGGCATGTCAGCTGCCCTAGACAATCTGCACATTAACTTCCACTCTAAAAACTTTTCCTGGCTTGCCTTTGCAGAGTGTGAAAGCTAGGTGATGGCGGTCCAGTTTTACAATAAGGGCCAGCTGTGCTTATGTGTGCTGATGTTACTGTCACAAAGACTTTTCCCTTGATTTGATAAAAATCCTGCTGAGCCGGACTCAGTCTTCATTGTTGAATGAACTGGTGTCAGGGAGTTCTCCTTTGGCTTTCTTAAAGGTCATTCTTTGCTCACTTCTTTTTTAGTTCACAGCTACATTTTTTTAGGCTTCATGTGGTATGCTGGTTATGCCAAAATAAAGAACTGGATCAAAGACATTTCATGTTCATAAGGCTGAGGACCAATCTGTCTTTTCAGATCCAGACTCCTAATAGATAAAGGACCAGGGAGTCTCTATCTCCATAACCAGCTCACTGCTAGAATCCTAAGTTGCCTTCTACAACAGTGCTGTGAACTTAACCTTTTGAAAGGTTTGGTTTTTATATCCAGCTTTTTGTTCCATAAAGCTTGCTCCCAGGGTCTCTGCCAGATGTACTAAGAAATCCAGCTTTGTCCTTATTTCTTCCTCCTGGGGACCATTCCATTGATCATGGAGTGGTAGGGGTGTGGAAACAGCAGAAGTCTGGTTCACATTCTCTATCCATTGTCAGGTCCAGCTGGCTGGAATCTCATTGTACTTTTAAAGGACAGACATATCAGCTTCTAGCTTTTTGACATGATACCTCAATGCATTCTTCCCAAATTTATGTAATTGTCACACAGTTATTTAATAAAATCAAAGTAAAGTTAGCCAAAACATCTCCCTCCCCAGCATCTTCCCATCATCACTTCTGCTGCTTTTTCCTTTTCTGTATCTCTGCTTATTGAGTGGCTAATCAGAAGTCTCTCCTCAAGAGCTTGTAATTCTGTGTTTTAAATTAGATATTTTATTTGGATCCTACCCATATTCTTAATCTTTTTCATTGAGTCAACCTTATTCTCTCTGTTGAATTTACTATATCCACAAAGAGCAGTTCTTATGATGGCTAATTTCTGATTTATGTTTCTGGTGCTTGTGATAGTGATTCAGTAGATGATTTAATGCACAAAGAAGGAGGTCATATGCTGGGAAAAGAAGGAAGAGATAGAAATAAGTTAGACGCCGAATATATAAACTGGTAATTGAGATGTCAGTTTTAGGCCAAAATCTAATAGATCAGCAAACCAATGAGTTGGCAGTCCTTAGAGAAGTAGAAGGGAATCATTTAAGCCCAGCACTGATTCATGAAAAAAGTAAGTTATGCTAGAGTAACTTCATTTCCCTTCAAGGTAGAATTACTTTGGTAAGAGAAGACCAGGGGACTACAAAGGAATGACTGTAACTAGGTTTCCCCAAGGCATAATGAAATCTTGTGAGCACAAAAGAGAAATGTGAATGTGGTAATACTGTCATTAAGAATATTTGGTGACTGGTCGGGTGTGGTGGCTCACACCTGTAATCCCAATACTGTGGGAGGCTGAAGCAGGTGGATTGCTTGAGCCAAGGAGTTCGAGGCCACCCTGGGCAACAGGTTTGAGACCATCCTGTCTCTAACAAAAATACAAGAAATTAGCTGGGCGTAGTAGTGTGCACCTGTAGTCCCAGCTGCTTGGGAAGCTGAGGTGGGAGGATTGCTTGAGCCCAGGAGGCGGAGGTTGCAGTAAACCGAGATCATACTACTACACTCTAGTCTGAGTGACAGGGTCTCAAAAAATAAAAATAAAAAAAAAAATCTGGGGCCGGGCACGGTGGCTCATGCCTGTAATCCCAGCACTTTGGGAGGCCGAGGCGGGCGGATCACTTGAGGCCGGGAGTTCGAGACCAGCCTGACCAAAATGGAGAAACCCCGTCTCTACTAAAAATACAAAATTATCCGGGCATGGTGGCACATGCCTGTAATCCCAGCTACTAGGGAAGCTGAGGCAGGAGAATCGCTTGAACCTGGGAGGCAGAGGTTGCAGTGAGCCAAGATCACGCCATTGCACTCCAGCCTGGGCAGCAAGAGTGAAACTCCGTCTCAAAAAAAAAAAAAAAAAAAAAATTGGTAACTAAATGTGCAGCTGTACCCAAACAATAAATCAAAGTTTGAGAATTAAGTTTCTGGGACTCTGTCATTGACTCATAGTTCCCAGTGTTTATCAATGAATTTATTCATTCATATTTATTTAGGTGCCTAGTATATGCTAGGCACTTAGGTAGGTAGAAGACACGTGAATCCTGTTCTAAGATAACATGAAGTAGGAATTCCATGGAATAATGAATACCTGGGATGACAGGCAGGATTCACCGTGATTTAAACGGGCTAGAATAATGAATCTAATTCATGGAATTTAATAGGGAAAAACATAAAGCCTTTCACATGAGTTCAAAAATTCAAGTGTAAAGAAGACTTTAAGGGTTTAGGTTGACTTTAAATATAATAGAATTTAACAATAGAAGGACAGGTGCAGTGGCTCATGCCTGTAATCCCAGCACTTTGGGAGGCTGCGGTGAGTCCAGGAGTTCAAGACCAGCCTGGGCAACGTAGTGAGACCTCATCTCTACAAGAAATAAAAAATTAGCCAGGTGTGTTAGCACACACCTGTAGTCCTAGCTACTCAGGAGGCGGAGGTGGCGGAGGGATTGCTTGAGCCTGGGACTTAGAGGTTGCAGTGAGCCACGATTGTACCACTGTACTCGGCCTGAGTGACAGAGTGAGACCTTGTCTCAAAAAAAAAAAAAAAAAAAAAAGTTAATGGAATAAGAACTGCCAAAAGCACATATTATCTTGTGGGAAAATGTTCATAACATTATCAGATGAAAAAGCAGGTTATAAAGCATAGAGTATGGACTCATTCTGTTTGTGCAAGGGAAATACACACAGAGGAAGAATATACGTCAACATGGTGACAAAATGTAGCAGACGTCTTTGGTTGTTGGATCACGGATGAATTTCTCTATGCCTTTTTGTCTCTCAGGTTTTAGGCATTGAGAATATAATACTTTTATTCTTAAAAAATTGCTTTGGTTTTGTTTCATTTTGAAAAGGTGAAAGGGTATATAGCCGCTGCTGGTAATTTAGCCTTGGGGGAGGGGAGGAAGATTTGGTAATCTTTCTCATTCGTCAGTGCTCACATCCAGTGCCTGAACCATTGCTTCTCTCTGGTAATCAGCATTATTAGTAAACCCCCACTTCCCCACAGGAGCCACTCTGCCCAGAATTAGAGCATTCTGCAGCGGGATTGGCGTGGAGCAGCAGGCTTCCACCATAGGAAAGTCCCCTCCAGCAGGGGCCACCGTGCAGCCGCTCTCTCTGGCGGGTGAGACTGGCAAATGGACTTTACTCTCCTGCTCACACATCTGAGTGATTCTGGCGTCTTTTTTTTGGATCCAATAGTTTGGCTGCCCTCATTTATCACCCAGGTGATCTCACATAGACACAAAACTTGGTGTAAAGGCATTGTAAATACTGCTTTGAAGTAGTATACTTCTTCTTTCTCAGAAGCAGTGCTTGTTGTTTAGTACCCTTATTGGTTACCCCGTGCCCCGAAAGCTTGGGTTCACTTTCCATGGGAAGAATGTTAATAATAGCTAATGTTTACTGAACATTTATTATGCATGCCATGTGCTAAACGCTGTACATAGATTATCACATGTAATTTTTAGACCAACCCTATGAGAGATGGGATTAATTTTTATTCTCATTTCACAGCTGAGGAAACCAAGGCACAGAGAGGTTAAACATGTTGCTTCTAGTGGTAGAGCTAGGATCTGAACCTTGCAGGCTTGCGCTCGATCTCAGCCTTAGTCACTGCATTGCTGCCTCCCCTTCTGCAGGTGGTCCTGTGCAGACCCGTGGTGTGGACCCAGAGTGCAAGGCCTCCTGAATTCTCACTATCTCAGTGCTTGCATTGGGTTTGATTCCTTCCCAGCACCCAAAACCTTTTATTTCTTTTTGTCTTCTTTCTTGGATTATTTCTTTAATCCTTTCCCAGGAGACTTTCATCCTCTCAAGTAAACAAATTATTTAGAAGTTTTTAAGTCCTTTCACCCTGTTCTCAAGCAAGGAGACCAGCTTGCACTTACAATTTCGTGTAGTTATGTGCTTTTGACCTAGCATCAAAAGTTCACATAGTTTTTCCAGATTATTTCTGAGCTTTTCATGATCTCTAACACCATCCCTATTATACTTTAACTCTTCCCATAGAAGAACCATTTCTGTATAACTCCATAGGTTCAAAACAGGAAAAGCAGAAGAGAGTATACTCTTATCTCAAGGTGTAAACTCAAAGGTTAAAAAAAAATTAATTTCTTTAGTATTATAATTTTTAGAGATCACTTAAAAATCTTGTTCTAACACATAAATTCTCTAAGAATCAAAGCACTTGTCACCATGAGTGTGAACTCTTGGCAGGTCCGTCTAACTCACTTAAATAATGTTAAGCACAGATTTCATTTGGCTAGCTATCAGTGTTCCCAGTCAGCAGTTACTGACAGTTATTAACAGTTATAGTTAATTTATAATTTACCTTTTACATTAAGATTTCTTAGTAGACTGTTTCAGTATGTATTAAGTTTATATCTAAGTGCAATTCAGCTTTTCTTTTTTACTAATGAGAGTAGTTATCAATCATTCATTGAACGCATTTCATAAACAGATTTATTCTTTACAGAGCCTCCACTGTGCAATTTCAGTGCTAAATTTAACTATTATGACCCTTGACTCTCTTCTAACTACATTTGACTTTTATTATCAATATATCATCAAGCTTACTTTCAGAGCCAACCATTCTTTCTGCCCTTCATCCACAGGACTCATTTACACCAAGATTGTCACTGTCTTTGCATTTCTCACTTCTTCAGACCTTCATGCCAGTTTACTGGGTCATTCGGACTAACATGATTTTCATCACTAATGTTAACATATAAGCTAGCTCCCCTTGATTCTGCCTAACATCTCCTGGGCTTTAAACCCCTGTGTTAATACCACCTATTCCAGAGTCCTGCTATTCCTGACATTTTTTCACCTCCTCATTCTTCCTGTGGACTCGCCTGACAAGTCACTGCTCTAGGTCATGAGCTTTTAAAAAGCAGGAACTATGTGTTTTTCTTCTTGGTAGTCCGTAAGCACCTAGGAACAGTGTCCAATAAATGTGGATTGAATTGCACTGAAATGAAATAACTGCTTAGGCATGTATCTTTACATATGATCCCAGTATTGCAAAGTACAAGAGAGAAAAAGTTATTTTATAGCTAAAATCAGGAAATTATAAAAACAGGAAATAATAACAAGAGTTTTAATGAAAGATAAGTGAAAATGCTGTAACTTTTTGTTTGCATGTTTGTCTGTTTAAAATTGAGGTATAATTATGTAAACTAAAAAATCATCTATTTTGGCTGGACGCAGTGGCTTACGCCTGTAATCCCAGCACTTTGGGAGGCCGAGGCGGGCAGATCACTTGAGATCAGGAGTTCGAGACCAGCCTGACCAACACAGTGAAACCCCATCTCTACTAAAAATACAAAAATTAGCTGGGCGTGGTGGCACACACTTGCAATCCCATCTGCTCAAGAGGCTGAGGCATGAGAACTGCTTGAACCCAGAGGCAGAGGTTGCAGTGAGCGGAGACCATGCCACTGCCCTCCAGTCAGGGTGGCAGAGCAAGACTCCGTCTCAAAAAAAAAAGAGAGAGAAAATATATATATATTTTACTGTTCAATTTGATGAGTTTCAGCAATTTTATATATCTTTGTTAACCACCATGCAACACAACATACAGAACATTTCCATCACACTTCAAAATTCCCTTGCGTCTTTTTCCAGTCGATACTGCCCCTCCCCACTAGTAATCATTCTTCTGACTCCTCTCACTGTAGATTTGCTGTGCCTGTTCATGAATGGAATCATACAATATTTGTTCTTTTGTGTTTGGCTTCTTTCATTCAATACAGTGTTTTTGAGATTCATCTGTTTTGTTGCTTATATTAGCAGTTCATTCGTTTTTATTGAGCAATACTTCATTGTATGAATACACCACAATTTATTTCTGTAATGATAGGCATTAGGATTGGTTCCAGTTTTTGACTACTATGAATACAAATTCAGTGAAAATTCTTATGCAACTTTTTTTTAGCCACATTTTTATTTCTTTTGGGTCAATACCTAGAAGTAGAATTGTCCTGTCGTGTAAATATATGTTTAACTTTATAAGAAACTGACCAGTAGTTTTCTGAAACGATTGCATCATTTTACACCCCCGTCAGCAATGTATGAAAGTTCTAGTTGCTCTTCATGCTCACTAACATCTGATATTGTTCTCCATTTGATTTTAGTCATGTTAGTAGATGTAAGATGTTAGTTGCATTTCCCTGATGAGTACTGATGTTGAGAACTTTTCATTTGCTTGTTAGCCAGTCACATATTTTCTTTTGTAAATTGACTGTTCCAATCTTTTACATGTTCTTAAATCTCATTATTTTTGTTATTCATATCAACAGTTACCAATAGGGCATTTTTATATTTTATCACTAGAAATCCTTTGTCACATATACATACCTATATTGCAGATATTTTTCCTCAAAGGCATGTCTTGCTTATTCATTTTCTTTTCCTTAGTGATGTCTTTTGATGAGCAGAAATGTCTTGATCATGGTAGTTTTATAGTAGTCTTGAAATCAGGTGATGTAAGTTATCTTTTTCAAGATTGTTTTGACTAATATAGATTCTTTGATTTTTCCCTAATGTGGCAATCAACCTTTCCTGCCACCAGAGGTATGCTAGAAGAAAAAAAAAAAAAAAAGAAATAAGAAAAAAAAAATCAACATGTCAGTTTCTTCAACAACAAAAACAAAGCCTGCTGGAATTTTTATTGTGATCGCTTTGAATCTGTAGATTGATTAGGGGGTAGTTTCCAGTTCTGGCTAAGTCTTTATCTGATCAACCTACTTGATAAAATATAAAATACAACTATTTAAAGGCACTGGAGGGTGAACAAAAGCTGATTGATACTGGAGATGAATCAACATTTGAAAGAAGGGAATTGCCACGGGTGAGTTTTCTGGGTTTTTGTTTGTTTGTTTGTTTTCTGTTGTTGCCTTTTCACTTAAGGGCAAGTCATAGTTTGCACCACATGGAGCAGATAAAACTTGCCCCAAAATCTGCAGTCTAACTGGCTTGGTGAACTGGAAGATGGAGTTCAGGATAACCACATCTGCTGTAGAGGGAGAGGGGAACTCTGGAAATGAGACATCTCCAGAAGAGGGGAGCCTAAATTCTATGTAGAAAGTTTTCCCAAATCTCTGACTGACCCCTGACTAATGCATATGCAAGACATACTTCAAAGCATGCAGGTAACACAAAAAGAACTGATCTGAGCTGCAGCCCACGGAGGAGAAGAAAGAATTGCAATTTGAGTTTCTCCAGGTTAACCATCTACTTAAAACACATACACACACATTCTTTAGAGCGACATAATACAATCCAGTCTCTACAACATATCATTCACAATATCCAGGATACAATATGAAATTATTTAATGTAGGAAGAAATAGGAAAATATGACCTATCCTCAGAATAAAAGATAATCAATGAAGACCAATCCTTAGAAGGCCCAGATGATAGAATTAACAGACAAGGATTTTAAAGTGACTCTTATAACTGTGCACAAGGATGTAAAGGAAAATATGCTTTAATGAATGAAAAATACAAAATATTGACCAGGTGCAGTGGCTCATGCCTGTAATCCCAGCACTTTGGGAGGCCGAGGCGGGCTGATCACCTGAGGTCGGGAGTTCAAGACCAGCCTGGCCAACATGGCAAAATCCCATCTCTACTAAACATACAAAAATTAGCCGAGTGTGGTGGCACATACCTGTAATCCCAGCTACTTGGGAGGCTGAGGCAGGAGAATTGCTTAAACCCAGGAGGCGGAAGTTGCAGTAAGACAAGATCATGCCACTGTGCTCCAGCCTCTGAGGTACAAGAGTGACACTCCATCTCAATAATAATATAATAATAAAGACAGATTTCCAAATGGAAATTGTGAAACTGAGAAAAACAATATCTGAAATACAGAATAGACATTCTAACAATATTGAGTCTCCCAGTGAGTCAACATGGTATATCTTTGTACTTATGTAGGTTTTGTTTAATATCTTTCATTAGTGTTTTATAAATTCAGTGTAGTGACCTTATGTATTTTCTATTAGATTTATTCTTAGGTATTTGATGTATTCTCATGATATTATAAGTTGTATTGCTTTTTTTTTTTTTTTTTTTGAGACAGAGTCTCTCTCTGTTGCCCAGGCTGGAGTGCAGTGGCACGATCTCAGCTTACTGCAACCTCTGCCTCCCGGGTTCAAGTGATTCTCCTGCCTCAGAATCCCCAGTAGCTGGGACTACAGGCACCCGCCACCACTCCTGGCTAATTTTTGTATTTTTAGTAGAGACATGGTTTCAACATATTGGCCAGGCTGGTCTCAAACTCCTAACTTTGTGATCTGCCCACCTCCGCCTCCCAAGTGCTGGGATTACAGGCGTGAGTCACCACACCCAGCCGAGTTGTATTGCTTTTTAAAATTTCATTTTCCAATTGTGTATTTCTAGAATATAAAAATATGATTTCATTTTGTTTATGGACCATGATTACTGCAACTTTGCTACATTTATTTATTAGTTCTAGCAGTATCTCTCTAAAGTTTATAAGGTTTTCTATGTAAACAATCATCTGTCAATGAATAATATCTTTTTTTCTTGTCTTAAACTGGCTAGGTCATCCTTTACTGCTGTTGAATAGAAATGTTTTCTAGTTTACTAAGAGTGTCTGTCAGGAAATGGGTATTGAATTTTGTCAAATGCATTTCATGTCTAACGGTATTAATATATGACTTTTCTTCATTCTCTTAATGTGGTGAATTATATGATAGATTTTTTTTCTAATGTTACCCTTGCATTCCTATGGTAAATGCCACTTGGCCATGATATATTATCCTAGTGTATTTGATTGGTTGGTTGATTAGATAGATAGATAGATAGATAGATAGATAGATAGATTTTATTAGCTAATATTGTGTTAAAGTTTTTTTATGTATCTGTGTTCATCAGGCATATTGGTCTGAAAAGACCAAAAGAAAGTAATTTTTTTTTGTACTATCTTTGTCAGATTTCTGTATTAGAGATATGCTAACCTCATGAGTTGGGAAGTTTTTTTTTTCTCTGCTCTTTTTTGGAAGAGTTTGTGAAAGGATGGAATTATTTCTTCTTGTTTGATAGAATTCTTTTTTTTTTTTTTGGTGGGGAGGGGGAGACAAGAGTCTCACTCTGTCGCCCAGGCTGGAGTACAGTGGCACAATCTCCGCTCACTGCAACCTCCGCCTCCCAGGTTCAAGCGATTCTCCTGCCTCAGCCTCCTGAGTAACTGGAATTACAGGCACCAGCCACCACTCCTGGCTATTTTAATATTTTTAGTAGAGATGGGGTTTCAACATGTTGGCCAGACTGGTCTCGAACTCCTGAACTTAAGCGATCCGCCCACCTCGACCTCCCAAAGTGCTAGGATTACAGGAGTGAGCCACCACGCCTGGCATAGAATTCATTTTGTAATCATCCGGGCTTAGAATTTTCCTTCTATGTAAGAAAATATTAAGGTTTTTAAAAAGGTTTGATTACAAATTAAATTTTTAAAATACGTATTGCAGCAGGTCTGTGATTCTCAAAGTGCTATTATTGGACCTGGGGGCTGCGGAGAGGTTGGGAGGAGGGGGGATCCTCAGGACCCTTTGAGGAAGCCAATAGAATCAAACATTTTCATAGTGGTACTGAGACATTTCTACTTTTTTCACTGTGTTGACATTTGCACCGATGGTACAAAAACGATGGTGGGTTTTGTAAAACTGCTCGTGCCTTAGCACAGATCCAGGCAATGGCACCAAACTGTAGTAGAAGTCACTGTATTCTTGACCACCATAGCATTTTCACTTGAAAGAAATGCCAGTGCTACTTAAGAGTATCCTTCATAAGCAGTAATATTTTCTTAAACTCAACCCTGGAGTGTATATCTTTTTAATATTCTGTCTGACAAAATGAGATGTACACATAAAGCAATTCGGCTGCTTAGTATGTAATAGTTGTCTCAAGGAAAGGCATTTGTGACCCTGAACTTGAAAGAGCATCTATCTGATAGACAAACTAGGGTTATTTGGATTTGGATATTTGGCAGTTGTTTCCTCAAAAGTAAACAGTGAGCCTATCACTTCAAAGAATACAACTGACAGTATTTGTTGTCAATGATAAAATTACAGCTTTTCAGGAAAAGTTTGACTTTTGGAAAACGTGTATCCACCACTGTGAGTTTGACATCTTCCTAATACTTGAAGATTTAAATATCTGTACATTTCACAAAGTGCCATTGAAGTGAATAGACTTTCTTGTAAAGAAATAATTTCTCCCCAGAAAGCACCTCCTTCATGGCCTTATAGTGTTTCTCATCAGAAGCACCACTGGCATTTTAAGCAGCACACATTTTCTTAATACAAGACTATTCCTTTCATTTCTGGATATTTAACACCCTGACCTCCGCCAATTAAATGTCAGTGACACCTCCACCCCCATCATTGTGACAATTGAAAGCACACTCACAGTTGCAAGCACGATCAAAAAGAGCAGGGGCATCCTTGTACATGGTAGCTTGTGTTTGGCTGGACTTGGGTGGAGGAGGCTGGGAAGATGGACCGTGGAATCACCCTCTATACAAGTGTCACAGTCCTCTGCATATCTTTATGGAGAGTGCAACTTCCATTGAGATTTTGCTTTACATTTTTCAGATTCCCTCCAAGTTCCCTAAAACCAGTATCCATTTGATGGAACAGATATTAAACCAGAGGAAAAGTATAGCTCTTCAATGTTTATTGGCTGGAGGTTGCAGGTATGCTGCAGGAAGGGCAGTTGTAGAGAAAAACATTTCATCCTGCAGTGCCACAGTACAATATAGAAAGTAAGATAAAGTTCTAAATGGATAGGCTATTAAGAGAATGTAGTATTTAGAAAAATTTGCAATATTGTTGCCTATTTGCTACATATGTAAAGGGGAAATACAGCCTAATTCACTTTGAATCAGATGTTAAGCACAGAACCTTCCCACAGCTAATTCTCTTGGCTCTGTGTACTCTGTTGTAGAAGTAAAGTAAATCAATTAGAAGATATTTACGGGGCCTGTGTACAATATTATGTTTTAGCATTGAGCAAGGAAAAACACTAAATTTTGGAGAGAATGATTGAACCTCAAAATTTTTGGTAGGAGTAGAAAAAACATTATTAGAAAAATAGAATTCGTTGAGGTTCAAGAATGGGATGGAATTTTGCATTGAAATAGAAAGTATGAGATGCCTAGAAAGGAATATTTAGATATATAAACTTGGGCACCAGAAATCAAGGAAAGGCCAAGTTATGGTACACCTGGCCTCCGCTGTGTCAATCATTATAGCATTAGCATACTGCAAACCCCAAGGCTTGTGCTTTAAGTGTGAGAAACCATGGGCTGAGTGACACCCACTGTAACTCAAAGCAAGCAAGTTTCTCGTGGCACTTATTACATTACACAGCTGAGCATTTCTGCCCCCACCCAGTGTTGCAGTGTAAAAATGCCTGCCTCTTTGCTAAAAGCCTCTACTTGCTTGAGAAACTTCCTTTTGTGATTTGTAGACTGGGCTTATGTTACTGAGGAGATTAAAAACAGATTTCATTATAAAAGTTTATGATGTTCCAGTCCGTTCAATATGTGTGCAGTTGGAGGAACACATCCTTTCTTATCCATAATTCCTTATTTGATCTTCTCTTGCCCACTGTCCTACCCTTTATATATCCACAGACCCCCACCTCATATTCACACACCTGCAAACCTGTCCATGATCATCCCCACATAAAGGGGCCTGGTTTGGTTTCAGACTTTGATTTCTGATACACAAGAAGGCATTAAAGTGAATGTCTCCTGGGGATATTTGTTATTAAAACAGCTTTTAGCAAATGAACCAATCTAGCCAGTGAGATGAATTCTGATGTAAGCTTCATAGTTATATAAATACTGTAAAATCTAATCACTGAGTCTAGATTGCTTTCTGTAGCTAGCAACTTCTGTAACCAGCAAAGCAGGAACGAAAGCAGAACCACTGTTGATGGGCTTTCTGAACTTTAGTCCAGTTGTAACTAATAGTTTAATTCTGGATTCAAAGCAGCACCTGCCCTAATTGGTGTGGAAATCTCAAGGTTAGCCAGCTAAAGCAGTTTCTTCTTTTTCACCTGTTTCTTTCCTTTGTATTCATTTGTTCACTGGATCAGCCCACTCCTGCCTTGAACCTAGATACCTTTCTTGGTGGCTCCCCCTTTCGTTCACAGCTCACTCCGTTCCTTTAGCTGAGCCAGTAGCTGTTGAGTAGTTTTGGGTGTTTTATCTTCAGTAAGCTTTTCTCTTCCCTCACTAATGAGAAAAGAGATAATAGGTTCCTCAGGCTCCTCCTTTCCTAACGATGTCATCCTGTTTTACTGTCACTCAGCACCCTGCTTTGTGAATAATGTTAACATTTCACTAATGTATTGAAGTATTTATTTATATTTGATCAGTGCTCACCATGTTTCTCCATACGTCTAGAAGTCTCTTGGGAAAGATCATGCCCTTTTAACTGTCTGATAACATGCACACTGAGGCACTTCAAGAAGGATCACTGAAGATCAAATGTCGCACTCAGAAAACTTAATAGATAAGCTCTGAGCTTTTTGGTGTGTTCTCCAAGAAGATTAGGAGATGGTATACAATTGAGCAACTGAACTGTGGGAGCCAAACTGTGGGAGGAGATGAGTAAGGGATGTGACATATCAGAGGTGAGATTATGGGATAGAAAGCCGAAAGAATACAGTTCACGGACTTACCCTTAACGAGAGATTTGGAAATCTCTCTAAGAGAGTTGGGAAACCAAAGCAGAGGCCCGAAAAGACCAGGTTGTGAGGGAGGGCACAGGCAACAGAGGAGCATGGACTTCTGAGCTTGGCAAACATTTCACTTTGCTCCCTCCTTCAGTGCTCTGTTGAGTCATCAGGACCCAGGCTATAAATAACCCTATGTGGCTTTTAGGTGAGGACTCTGGAAGGTCTGTGTAGCCTCACTTCAGGGTTCCTACACCTCTGTCATTGAAATGACTTTAATGACAAAGGAAAGAATAACACTGATTTAAATCACTATGAATACTTTTCTCAATTTAGGCACCCTTTCATTTTTCTAAGCCCCCTTAACCAGGGTTTGGAGCAAGGTTGTTCATTATGAAAGTCTTATGTTTCTTCTATGTACAATTTTCCTGTCACTGTACCTAAAAAGGAAAAGAAATACAGTGTAATTAAAGATGGTCCCAAGAAGAATAACCAAAAGTGTTAAGGAGATGGAAGGACTGACAAGACTGTTCTCAAAAGAAATGAGACCTTTAGAAAATCATACTAAAATATATTTAGCATAAAATTTACCATTTTAACCATTTTAAAGTGTACAATTCAGTGGTATTTAGTACATTTATACTGTTTTGCAACTATTAGCCACCATCTGTCTCCAGAACTTTGTCATTATGCCAAACTGAAGCTCTGTACTCACTGAAAAATGACTTCCTATTCCCTAATTCCATAGCCCTTGATAATCACCATTCTACTTTCTGTCTCTAAAATTTGCCTATTCCAGGTACCTCACATAAGTGGCATCATATAATATTTGTTCTTTCGTGACTGACTTATTTCACTTAGCATAATGTCTTCAAGGTTCTGTACATGTGCTGCAGCATATGTCAGAATTTCCTTTCTCTTTAAGCCTGAGTAATATTGTATGTAGATTCATCTGTTGATGGACATTTGGGTTGTTTTCACCTTTTGCCTATTTTGTACAATGCTGCTATGAACATTGGTGTACGGTTATTAGTTTTGATTTCAATTCTTTTCTGTATATATCTACAAGAAAAATTGCTGGATCATTTGGTTATTTTGTGTTTCACTTTTTGAGGAACCCCTAAAGTGTTTTCCAGAGTAACTGTACCATTTTACTTTCCCACCAGCATTGCACAAGGGTTCCAGTTTTTCCACATCCTCAGCGACCCTTGTTATCGTCAGGTATTTTGTTTTAATAATAGCCAAATGGGAATGAAGTAGTATAAATGGGGTCTTTTCTACTGGGAAAAGTGATCTGAGAGGGGAAATGTAGGAGGCTATAGTTGTAAAGACTTCTGCTAGGAAGTACACAGACATGGTCACCAGAATCTAGAATTTGGAGCTGGGTGCAGTGGCTCACGCCTGCAATCCAAGCACTTTGGGAGGCTGAGGTGGGCAGATCGCTTGAGCCCAGGAGTTTGAGACCAGTCAGGGCAACATGGTTAAACCCCCGTCTCTACAAAAAAAATATATAAAAATTAGCCAGGCATGATGGCACACACCTAGAATCCCAGCTTCTCAGGAGGCTGAGGTGGGAGGATCACCTGAGCATGGGGAGGTTGAGGCTACGGTGAGCTGTGATTGCACCACTGCACTCCATTCTGGGCTACAGATTGAGACCCTGTCTCTAAATAAATAAATAATTTGGGCAAGGAAGATAGTCAAAGTATTTAACAAATACTATAACATAGCATAGGTACTGACTACTCAAAAAGGCCACCGGCCCTTCGCCTTCCTCAGGTGTACAGATTGTCAGCCTCAGTGGGGACCCTGTGAGGTAAATTTGGAATAATGAAAAAAAGTGTCTTCCCACACCATTTATGTTACCCAGTCATAGGGACATAAGCTCAAATATAAACAACTTCTAAAAAATATTTAGATATTTAACTGATGGGTGGTTGAGAGAAAACAAATTCTGTGTGATGAACCCTTTTCCTTTTGAAGTTGATGTTAGAGAAAATGATCATGCATCTGTTCCTGCCTTAAGTTAGCCCCCCATCCTGCATTGGAAGCTCTCTGGACTCTTCTTGTAGGTCTTCTGGCAATCACAGGGGAATGAAATTGCTATTTCAGTTGTTTTACATCCAGCTAATATTTATTGTACATTGACTGTGTGCCAGGCCTTATGATACGTGCTAGGAAAAGAAGAGAGTGCAAAACAGACCCTGTCCTTGTCATCATGGAGCTACGGTTTAGTGGGGGAGTGAGATAATATCACACAAGTAGATTTGTAATTCCAAACTGTGCTTGGTTCCATATTGGAAAAATACCTGAGATATTTCTCTCCTTTCCTCTAGATTGTTCATACAGCCACTCACTCTAAGAAACCTGCTTGCTTTTCTCTTCAGGAGCCTGCAGACAGGGGGATTTGCCTGGGAAGGAGAAGTAGAAAACAACGTGTACAGCCAGGCTACAGGGGTGGTCCCCCAGCACAAGTATCACCCCACAGCAGGCAGCTATCAGCTTCAATTTGCCCTGCAGCAACTTGAACAACAAAAACTTCAGTCCCGGCAGCTCCTGGACCAGAGTCGAGCCCGGCACCAGGTAATTCAAGATAAGTCTTTTCCATGTGTTATATCTTCCTGCTGTTGGTAAAAAAAAAAAAAAAAAAAAAAAGGTCAGTGAATGAGAAATGTAGGATTAGTTTTCCAACCCCGTGCCATCCTGGCTTGGACAGCTCATGGGGAGTCTACTCTTGAGGAAAAACTGTTCTGGAGCCATAACACTGGCTTTGCTTGAAAGTGATGCTTAACCAGTGTTTGACATGTTTTTTTTTCATTTGAATGCTTCTATACAAAAATCTCTATTGTGGTGTTTACCCTTTCTGTTGTATGATCTTAGTTTATAACCTCCCATAGGGTCTGATTCTAAGATACCTGAAAGCTTGTATTTTAAGCATCTTTATTTCTAAATGTTCTACTTTCTTGCCTTGATATACTTGGCATATGTGCGTGATATTACTCATTATCTAACAAGATTTTCAAGGAATAAATAAGTTGCAAGTTCTTCTGGTGGGAAATGGACATATGTTAGCATGCAGGTCATCTATAAATGATAGCTATTCATTCAACAAATGTTTACTGTGATTCTACTGTGTACTAGGCACTGTTTTAAACAGTGGGGCTATAAGGTGACTGTACACACAAAAATCCTTGCTGTTGTGCAACTTATGTGTAGGGAGATGTTGATTCGCTACTCACTGTCTATAAAATGCCAGAAACTACTGAGTGAGGGAGCTATATAAGTATATAGCACTAATATATTAGTATGGCCCCAATTGTAGAGAAAGGATGACCTCACCGAAAATTCAGGAGTTAAATTTTTCTTGGTGACTCAGGATCATCATTAGAATAGTTACTGTGTTCTACAGTGGGGTTATTGGAATGAATTAGTACTGATTCTATAAGCTTTTCTGACATTTGGTTATGTGAAGAAATAACTTTTTATCAGTTTGATCTCCTGATCATTTTTTTCTTATAAAAATGTAGTACATAGTGTGTATGAGTTTGTGCAAAATTATTTACTCAAAGACTAAAGCAACATTTCCCAAAGGTTTTTTCCTCTAAGTAAAACAATTATTATTATAGTCTGTCTTATCTTTTCAACTACCACCCATAATAAAATGTCATTTTATTATTTCAACATAGTTCATCAATTGATCATCTTTACCTGCGGTAGTATACTCTGTACATTATATTAATTCATCATAATTGAGAAATTGTAAGTGCCGGCATTTGCAAAGTAGTTCTTTAGACCATTTTTACTGGAGAAAAATAAAATCTCTTAATCTGGAAAGCATAGAATATAGCATCTCATTGTAATCACATCACTTTCTGTCATGTAAAATTTTCTTCATTTAGAAAATCTTGAGGTCTTGAGGATAGTAGACACATTTAAGCCAGTTTGCATTTTCA
This sequence comes from Homo sapiens, assembly GCF_000001405.40. Lineage (NCBI taxonomy): Eukaryota > Metazoa > Chordata > Mammalia > Primates > Hominidae > Homo > Homo sapiens. Next base: position 75,865,233 of record NC_000014.9, read on the forward strand.
CAATTCCAGATACAAATGTGTGTCTTAGTTGTTGTTTTTTTTTTTTAATCTGTGTTCTTAAATTTCTTAAAGCTTTTTAAACTTTAAACTCCCTGTCATTCAGAGTACTTGAGAATGCCAACTTAATCAGATACTGGATAGTGGAAGTATCACTGTATAGCCTGAAGATCAAAAAACTACTTCTCAGGTCCTTGGCTCATTACCTGGGCCACAGAATAATGTGTGCACCAAACCCCCGCAACACGCCATTTACCTTCATAACAAACCTGAGCATGCACCCCTGAGCCTAAAATACAAGTCAGAAAAAAAAACTCTCTGGCTCTAATGAATCTAGACAGTTGGTACCTTTTAAACTATGCTTCAATACCTTGAAATGGAGGATGACTGGGGAAGGAGAGGCAGTTTTGTTGATTTTCACTTTTAGAAACTGCTTCATTTTTAAGTCCTTCTCATAGTTTTGATTAGCTTCCAGCAACTCACATTCCTTTGAAAATTCAAAGTACTGTACTACTATTCTTGTGTGGAATTTCTTTTCACTGAGGATTATACTGGTTTAGTTTCACTGAATTATGAAGTATATGGAAATTATGTTTTTTAGAATCTGTCAGAATATCTGTTTTAGCGAGGAGGCAGAACTCCCAAGAAGGGAGTTATCTCGTTCTCCTGGAGAGCAAACAGAAAATCATTCATCATAATTGTATATATGTGTGTAACATTATTTCTTCTCCCCAACACCCCGAACCCGTTCTTCTAAACCACAGCTGATTTAGGTAAAAATGAGTAAGGGTGAAGTTTCTGGGACTGTAGGAGAGAGCTAAAGTAACTAAATTCCATTAGCTTCAAGAGTTTATAACTAATAAGATAACAAATAAGATATTAAATATTCTAACAGGAAGAATATGTAGAAACTTAGAGCACTTTATTTTAGAGGGTACTTAGAATCATTCCACAGTGGAAGCAAAGCCCTAGTAGATTTTATACCTTTGTAGCTTAGCTGTGCTAGATCTGACCATTATAATTATCACTAAATTGTTGATTGAAGCATGGTTTACATTCTCAGTATTCTGTATTTCTGTCCTGGGGTTACCCTTTAGATAGCAATGGTACTTTTCCAATGAACTCCTTGCACTTGGATTCATTTCTCTAAAGTGTAGGGAGCCATTGGTATAACTCACAGTGTGGTTAACTGCCTGTTTGAAAGCAGTAGATAGAATTGAAATCTGATTTACCTAGCATTCATCCATAAAAGAGGCCTGTTTATGGAATGCGATGTTAAAGGAGGCCTTATATTTATCTTATATCATATTATGTTTATGAACAGCATCTTTCACATAGTAATCTCCTAATAATGTCTGGGGAAAGTTCATGCAGCCTTTCTCTCATTGTGTACATAGGAAGTTCTCCATTCTTTTCGGCCTCCAGTCAGAACACTTAGATATCCAACTTATTGAAGGTGTTAATTTCTGCTTAAACTCTGATTCAGGATATGAGTTTGGAAATGGACATCTCTCAGTATTCATGGGGAATGAGCTTTGATCTTCATCTCAGTATAGCATTGCACTCATAAATGTAGCAATTGTCATATACTTAATCCACTCCTGCAAAAGACTGATCCTGTGACATGGGAGTGAGAGAGGAAAGTCACCCAGAGCCAGTGGCGGAAGTTTTCAGGAACAGAGATACAAGAAACTTGGCGTGATCCAGTCCATATGATAGAGAGCATAATAAACAAAATAAGACAAAATTGAAACAATGAGCTTTTACACACTGATGGTAAAAACAGCAGTTTGAAAAACATTGTTTTAAGTCAGAGCAGAGGTCAGCAAACTTTTTCTGTAAATAGCCAGATAGTAAATATTTTAGGCTTTGCAGGCCATAGCATCTCTGTTGCAACTACTCAGCTCTGCCATGGTAGAGTGAAAACAGCCATAAACAATATGTAAATGAATGAGTGTGGCGGTCTTTCAACAAAACTTTATGTACAAAAACAGGCAATGGGCTGGATTTGGCCTATAGGTCCTAGTGTGCAGACCCATAGACTAGAGTAACAGAACCATTTGAAGGGCTTGTTAAAACAATTGTTCCTCCATCCCATTTCTGATTCATTAGGTTTGGAATAACCTAATGAATAGGCAGAATCCTCCCTTTTTGTTTTAATAATAATAGCCACCACTTAAGCACTTGCTGTGTTCCAAGCACTATTCAGGGTTCTCTATACACATTAACTCATTTAAAAATGAATTTCAGGGCCGGGCGTGGTGGCTTATGCCTGTAATCCCAGCACTTTGGGAGGCCAAGGCAGGTGGATCACAAGGTCAGGAGTTCGAGACCAGCCTGACCAATATGGTGAAACCCCGTCTCTACTAAAAATACAAAAATTAGCCGGGCGTGGTGGCGCATGCCTATAATCCCAGCTACTCAGGAGGCTGAGGTAGGAGAATCACTTGAACCCGGGAGGCGGAGGTTGCAGTGAGCCAAGATCATGCCCCTCCACTGCAGCCTGAGTGACAGATTGAGACTGTCTCCAAAAAAAAAAAAAAAGCAAAAAAAAAATTTCAGGATGGTTGTGGGAAGTACTGAATCTCAAGAGTTAGGAATGATCAAACAAATCTGTTATATATTGATACAGCCCAATGCATGTCTTCTAATTCTGTCTTTCTTCTCCTGCTGTCTTCCTGCCCCTGAAGGAGAAGGCAAAAGAAAACTTTTCTTTCAGCTGAGTCGGGGACTTTCTTGGGTAACAGTGACTACTGGTGACATCAGCATGAGTAGCTCTCCATGCTGGGGTCTGTGAGGAGGGCTGCACCGGCTGTGAGGCCTGACTGACCTGATTCTAATTGCAGACATTGAGCTGATGTTATTCTTGGCGCAGGACAGAGCGATTACTCAGTAGTTTCTGTTAAAGTGATCCTTTGTTAAACTTCTGCTCCCAACCCACTCCCTGCTTCCTTCCCTCCCACTCTCTTCTCTGCCTCATCCACAGTGAAAAAGAGCCCCAAAAGCAGAAAAATTAAGGACATATTGATGGCCAACACAGAATTGCCGAAGTTTCCTTTAACAATCATGGGAGAAAGGAGAGATTTTAAATACATCTTAATTCTTCACTGGTTCCGGTCTCTTTCGAAACCCCTTCAATTTTTAGTAGACTTAATTTTCAACATTAGTAAATAACTCAAGGTAGGAGAAAACTGTGCGTCCTAAATTTCTCTCATCCTTCTGCCCCATCTGTTCTTTACTTTTCCCTTCCCACCATGTCCAAGTTTACCAAACTAATCTGGATTCAATAATCCTAGCAGAAACTAATGTTCCTATAACAGGCAGGACTGGCAGCAGCTCATTGTTCACATCAAGAGGTCTTTCAGTTTGCTGGTAACATCTTGAGTGCAGTGTGTAACAAGCTTTTTGCTAATGCTGTGTGTGTATATACACAATCCCACAGGTGTGGAAAGGATTCCCATATAAACCGAACCATGTCTTGTTATTTTGCTCCTAAAAGTTCATTGCACGTGTCTAAAAAAATTCTGCCTCCTCCTGCAGGAATGAATTCTGTTTCGCCAAGCCTTCAGCTGCTGTGTGTTTGTGTTGTGGAGGAGGGGAGGGGAAAGAAAGAGAAATTCAGCAGGCACCCTGTCTTTTTCCAAGCAGCTGGCAATAACATGCTAGCTCCTCAGCGTGGCACAAAGAGCAGGCAAACAGTCTAGCCATGCAGGAGGTGTCTTGATACATCTTTATAATGGCGTATCAGAGAGGAAGGTTGGACTGGGGACATGAGAGGGGAGGAGTGTGTGTGTGTGTGTGTGTGTGTGTGTGTGTGTGTGTGTGTGTGTGTGTTTAAGTTCCAGAGCATATTGACTCCGGAACTTAATGTCATAACCTATTGCTTCGTTGTTTTTTTGTTTGGTTGGTTCTTTTGTTCTATTTTATTTTCCCACTTGACTTTTAGCAGGAACTCATACTTAGTGTCTAGCTTTTAGTTATTATTGATTTTCCTAGGACCACTTGATTTAGTAGATTTTGCCAAGCCAAACTTTTATTCTTATTTAATGAAAATACATAGAAAATACATGAAATAATACTGCATTCGGTTGTTTTGGAAATAGGCCACTCTAGACAGGCTTTGGAGTCAGATAACCCACAGCTTAAGTCTTGGCCCTGTCTAGTCCGTGACTTAAGACAGGTTATTCAAACTTTTAAAACCTCATTTTCCTTATCTCTAATTTGAAGATGATGATATATACCTGTGTATTATCATGATTGTAGTTCTCAGGATGTGATATTGATATTACCATATGTCAAGCACCAAAGTGGCCATTTTTTTGTATTATCTCAGTGGATCTTTACAGCTGCCCTCTTATTAGCCTCATTTCACAGATGAAAAAGCATAGTATCAGTTAGATAACTTTCTCTGTGTCACATAAGTAATAAATGGTAGAACTGGGATTTGAACCCAGGTCTGTCAGCCTGCAGCATCCAAGCTCATGGCTATTATGCTATATGCTGCCTCCTGCTGCTAATAAGGCATTCAATAAACAGCAACTGTAAGTACTATTACATAAATTCTAACTTGCAATGTATACATTCAACAAGTATTTTTTTTTTTTTTTTGCGATGGAGTCTCACTCTGTTGACCAGTCTGGAGTACAGTGGCGCAATCTCAGCTCACTGCAACGTCTGCCTCCCGGGTTCAAGCGATTCCCCTGCCTCAGCCTCCTGAGTAGCTGGGACTACAGGCGCACACCACCACGCCAGGCTAATTTTTGTATTTTTAGTAGAGATGGGGTTTTCACCATAGTGGTGAGGACGGTCTTGAACTCCTGACCTTGTGATCCACCCACCTTCGCCTCCAAAAGTGCTGGGATTACAGGCGTGAGCCACCATACCCAGCCAACAAGTACTTACTGACTCCGATGAAACTATGTTTGAAAAGTTATTATCAGGTCTCTTCACCAGTCTCCTACTATTCATAAGCACCATCTCAAAAGAAAAGTTTTCCTGCACTTAGGCCTAGACGTCATCCCAATTACCTCAATCTTTTTTTTTTTTTTTTCCTTTTTCTGGAGAACGGGGTCTCGCTATATTGCCCAGGCAGGTCTTGAACTCCTGGGCTCAAGCTATCCTCCCACCTCTTGCCTCCCTGAGAGCTGAGATTACAGGCGTGAGCCACCACGCCCGGCCTCTCCTCAATTCTTAATGAAAGAAATATCTTAATAAGGTGTTCTTGGGCGTAACAATCTTGGAAATGCCCATCCTTTACCCTCCCTTGTACTTTTATTAAGTAATGGGTTTAGCACCTAACAACACATGCAGTATCCTGACGTTTGTTCTAGAGGTTTGGATAGTAGGAGCACTTGTATGGGTTGTTACTAATTCCTGTGTTATTAATAATACAGGAATGATTTCTGTAATTATTATTTTGTCCTTTCAACACTGTTACTGGTAATGCTATTTTAATTTTATTTCTATGATAGGTGTTTTTCAGAAGACTCCCAGGAAACCTGACAGGTGTCTACAAATGTGACTACCACAGATGACATGTTTGCTTAATTCATATTATGCTTGCTTTGGTTTTTTTTTTTTTTTTGAGACGGAGTCTTGCTCTGTCGCCCAGCTGGAGTGCAGTGGCTCGATCTCGGCTCACTGCAAGCTCCGCCTCCCAGGTTCACACCATTCTCCTGCCTCAGCCTCCCAAGTAGCTGGGACTACAGGCGCCCGCCACCACGCCCAGCTAATTTTTTGTATTTTTAGTAGAGACAGGGTTTCACTGTGTTAGCCAGGATGGTCTTGATCTCCTGACCTTGTGATCTGCCCACCCTCGGCCTCCCAAAGTGCTGGGATTACAGGCGTGAGCCACCACGCCCGGCCTATGCTTGCTTTTTCAATATCATATAAGTCTGATCTTAGTGTATTATTACAATACAGACTTTCTTTCATTGTGTTAACTTATTACTGATAGTAGCATAAGTACCCTGGTTATCATCATGTTGCTTTCTAAGCTGCTCCTAGGGGAATATTCTTCTGGAATCTTAGAGGAAAATGAACACGCAGTAAATGCTTCCTGTGCACCAGATGTAGTCTTATCTCCATTCCACTGATGAGGAAATCAATGTTCAAAGAGTTTGGGTAACTTAGCCAAGATCACACAGCTGCCTGATTGTGGAGATAATATTTTTACCAGGTCAGAGGACTTCCAAAGCCCCTTTCCACTCTACCGTCCTCCCCCACGACAGAATTGACTCTTCGTTTTCTTTTTAGTTTACATACTTATCAGTCAGATAAGGCATTCCAGCATTATTGCTGCTGCACTGCTATATACTCTCGTATACACAAATCTTTAAAAAAAAAAAAAAAGGGTCAGTGTAACCAATTAAGATTCAGAACTCAGCTTGGTTGCTGCAGCTGTCTGGTGACCAGTTTTATTCTCTTCCCTCACTCCGTGGCCTGTGGTTTGTTTGTTTGTCTGTAGGTATATGAGGGACTCCCAGCAGTAACTTTGTGTGAGATGATGAAAGACTTCAATCCATCCATCTGAGATGGTGGCAGCCAGGGGAAAAATACTTAATGAATATGTGACAGTAAGGTCTGTATAAGATATGCACAGTAAACCAACCATGTGAGATCCTGGGCCAAACAAAACAAATTATACATTTGAAGACAGAGACAAGTTAGATGTTTATAACCTCAAAGTTGTAAAGGAAACTTAGAGATTGCCTTTGACTAATTATTTCATTTTAGTAATCAGGACACATAAGATACAGACACGTTAGGAGAACGGGGCCCTGATATACAAATAATTTCTTATAAGTACTAACAAATAAAAGTTAAAACACACAATTGAAAATGAAGCAGACCTATCTTTATTTAGCCAGTTGAGCTTTCTATCTGGGGTCATGGCTGATCCTTTGATGTTATCTGTATACATACTCACACTTTCACTTTAACAATAAGTAACAAACATTTGCTTACAGACAATAATTTTTTTTCAAACTTTCCTTTCCTTCTCAAGAAAGAGAATGATCTTGGAGCAAGGTGAATGAAATTTGTCTTTATATACATCTGGTGGAAACTGGACACATTTCTACGTTTGCTTTAGAAAAGAGATATGATTTAAATAAATTTGCTTTAGATATGTTTGCTTTAAAAGGGAATCAGCATAACATAAATAAGAAAGGCAGCATAGTATAGTGAGGTTCTTAAATCATACTCCATGGGTTTGAATCCCAGCTTACTACTCAGTACCTCTGCAATTATGAACAAATTTCCTAACATTTTTTGTGCCTTGGTTTCTTCTGTAAATGGTGATGATGAGGAGACACAGGTCATATGGTTGGGAGGGATAAATGAGATAACATAAAGCACTTAAAGCAATGCCTGACCCATGATAAAAGGTCAATAAAAGGCCGGGTGTGGTGGCTCACACCCATAATCCCAGCACTATGGGAGGCTGAGATGGATGAATCACCTGAGATTGGGAGTTCGAGACCAGCCTGACCACCGTGGAGAAACCCCATCTCTACTAAAAATACAAAAAATTAGCTGTGCGTGGTTGCGCATGCCTGTAATCCCAGCTACTCAGGAGGCTGAGGTAGGAGAATCACTTGAACCCAGGAGGCGGAGGTTGCAGTGAGCCAAGATCGTGGCCATTGCACTCCAGCCTGGGCAACAAGGGTGAAACTCCATCTCAAAAAAAAAAAAAAAGTCAAAAGTTAGTTGCTCTTATAATTGTGTATCACCTTTTTTTTATCATTTAGGTAGAAAACATGTAAATGTATCCTCTTAACAATTTTTATGTATACAGCACAGTATTGTTAACTATATGCATACTGTACCACAGATCTCCAGAACTTTTTTTTTTTTTTTTTGAGACGGAGTCTCGCTCTGTCCCCCAGGCTGGAGTGCAGTGGCTCAATCTCGGCTCATTGCAAGCTCCGCCTCCCGGGTTCACGCCATTCTCCTGCCTCAGCCTCCCAAGTAGCTGGGACTACAGGTGCCCACCACCACGCCCAGCTAATTTTTTTGTATTTTTAATAGAGACGGGGTTTCACCGTGTTAGCCAGGATGGTCTCGATCTTCTGACCTCGTGATCCGCCTGCCTTGGCCTCCCAAAGTGCTGGGATTACAGGTGTGAGCCACCACGCCCGGCCCTCCAGAACTTTTTTATATTGCATGACTGAAACCGTACTCATTGAACAACTCCCTGTTTTCCTCTTTCCCATCCAGCCTCTGACAATCACCATTCTACTTTCTGTGAGTTTCATTACCTCATGTTGAGTGAAATGATTTTGTCATTAGATTCTTTTACTTAGCATAATGTCTTCAAGATTCATCCACGTTGTAGCGTATGACAGGATTCCCTTCTTTTTTAAGGCTGAATAACATTTCATTGTGTGTGTATACACATATACATACCATGTTTTCTCTTTTTTTAGTTTTTTTTTTTTAGTTTTTTTGGGTACTACATACCACATTTTCTTTTTCCATTCATTCATTGATGGACATTTAGGTTCCTTTTACATCTTGGCTATTGTGAATAATACATCAATGAACACGGATGTACAAATATCTCTTATGTATAATTTTTAACCGTAAATATACATGGCATTATGATGTCAACTTGGGGGTTTTACTTAAACCTTCCGGGCCAGAAACAGAAATTGATTAAAATGATATTAAAGAAAGTGTCTTAGGAGAAGCCCAAGGCTCATTAAGTATTAATTAGCACATTTTTAAAACTAATAGTTACTTACTTGAACAATTAAATATGGTATGCAAATTAATTTGTTCATAATTATTAGAGCTATGAGAAGAATAAAAAGCATGATTAATACCATGATTAAATGGTTATTCTTTATTTATTTATTTATTTATTTATTTATTTTTGAGACAGAGTTTCACTCTATTGCCCAGGCTGGGGTGCAGTGGCTCGATCTGGGCTCACTGCAACCTCCACCTCCCAGGTTCACACCGTTCTCCTGCCTCAGCCTCCTGAGTAGCTGAGACTATAGGCATGCGTCACCATGCCCAGCTAATTTTTTGTATTATTTAGTAGAGGCGGGGTTTCAACATGTTAGCCAGGATGGTCTCGATTTCCTGACTTTGTGATCCACCCGCCTCGGCCTCCCAAAGTGCTGGGATTACAAGTGTGAGCCACCGCACCTGGCCTAAATGGTTATTCTTTAGAATAATATCTGTGTAGATTATTGACATGTTTGTCCAAAGGCATAAATATCTTACAAACATAAAAAGGACAAGAAACAGCATTAGCATCAATTGTGAGCTAGCTTTTCATCGGGTGCAAGCTGCTTTCTCAAAGTAATCAAAGGAATGATAAGTAAATTTAATCCTTTCAGACATACTGATGAAATACAAATTGGTACAACCTTTCCTGAGAGCAATTTGGGAATATATGTTAAAAAGTTTTGAAGCAGAAGAATAAAGAGATTTCTGATCTGGCTATTCTACTTTGAGGAAATTATTTTAAGGAAATGATCCAGCATATGTGAAAAGGTATAGATAACATGATGTTTATCACAACACTATTCTTAAAAAGCAAAGTAAACTGGTAACAACCTGAATGTGTGTGTGTATATATGCGTGTGTGTGTGTGCGTGCACATGTACATATGGTATTTCAAAATGGAACTATAAGATTTTGGGGGTGCTTTTCTGTTTGTGACACAGAGAAAAAAAAAGACACTGGGGGCCTTTTTTTTTTTTTTTTTTGAGACGGAGTCTCACTCTGTCACCCAGGCTGGAGTGCAGTGGCGTGATCTTGGCTCACTGAAAGCTCCGCCTCCCGGGTTCACACCATTCTCCTGCCTCATCCTCCCAAGTAACTGAGACTACAGGTGCCCACCACAACGCCTGGCTAATTTTTTGTATTTTTAGTAGAGATGGGGTTTCACCGTTTTAGCCAGGATGGTCTCGATCTCCTGACCTCCTGATCCGCCTGCCTCAGCCTCCCAAAGTGCTGGGATTACAGGCGTGAGCCACTGCGCGCGGCCTATATTTTTTAACTCAAAAATCTATTGTGGGCTGGGCGTAGTGGCTCACGCCTGTAATCCCAGCATTTTGGGAGGCTGAGGCAGACAGATCACGAGGTCAGGAGTTCGACACCATCCTGGCCAACACGGTGAAACCCCATCTCTACTAAAAAAAAAAAATACAAAAATTAGCTGCGTGTGGTGGCACGTGCCTGTAATCCCACCTACTTGGGAGGCTGAGGCAGGAGAATTGCTTGGAGTCGGAGGTTGCAGTGAGCCGAGATCGTGCCACTGCACTCCAGCCTGGCAACAGAGTGAGACTCCATCTCAAAAAAAAAAAAGAAAAAAATATATTGTGAACATATTTACATATTTCCATAGCTTCAAATATAGATGTATCTCAGTGTGTCAATTTATAGCATTGATGATTGGTGAAGTATAATAAACCATAGTAGAAAAAATGCCATTAAAAACAGCAGTCTAGGTCTACGTTTATAGATAGGGAAAAATGCTCAGAATAGGTATTTGAATGAAATAAAAACAGGCTCCAAAACATCAGGTGTCATGTGATTCCGTGTTTTGTCAGCACACAGAAATACATGCATACATACATATAGAAAATAAGTTTGTATATGCATAGAAAAACATCTAAATGTTAACAGGTTATCTCTGAGAGCAGAATTATAAATCATTTTGAATGAACATTTATTAAAGAAATTTGTTTCAAAAAGAAAAACATCAGTCTGCCAACCTTTTTATGTATGTGTGTGTGATCAAACAGTGCTGGGCATTGAAGGAGATATGAAAGAAATGTAAAGCAAAGCAGAGTCTATGGTCATCTGAGTCTGAATTTGCATCAGAACGTCAACCAGTGTCTGATTGGTTTTGTGGCTAGATGAAGGTGTGGCTGCTAATAAGGGAAGGTCACCCATGTGATGTCTTAGGGCAAGGTGGTTTCACTGGCTTTTGTGGTCATGAACTGCAGCCCTAGTCTTAGCCAGCTGTGTCATAGCTACACTGTGCTGGTCAGGTCACACACTAGTCCAAGCTCAGTTTTGAGTATATGTGAATATCTAGTTGTAATTATCTTCATTGCTTCTTAAATGTTGGCAAGTACAGTTAATTTAGGGACTCTCTGAAGAATCACACTGATCTCAATTGGTTAGTGAACAATAGTTTCGAAATTTTTCTGTCCAGGTAAGCATCTGTCTTTGTATCCTTTAGAGTAGGTCATTTGAGGTAGTAAGAACCTCCTTTCCTACTCACTGAAGGAGGGGGAGCTTCGTAATTGGTTTTAGAAATGAGAGGATATGTTGGAAGGCTTCCGACACCTTTGACAGCTCCATATCCTGTCTCAGGTATTTGTGTGCTTGGTCTCTCTATATGAAGAGGAGCAACTTCTGGATTGCTGTCCCATTCCTATTGGAGTCGTAGTACTGCCCAGTGCTTTATAGCAGCACCAGAAAAGTTGTACTGTTTCTCTTGCTCAGCACCCAGTCTTGTCCCAGCCGACAAACACTGTGAATGGAAGACAGCCAAGAACTCCATACAGTGTGAGACAAAGGCCTTTTGGAAGCTTACTTTTGCCAAAATAGAAACAGTTACTCTCACTCTCACCTTGGCTGCAAGGTTTTTACAGCATCACAGGGTTGCATAAAAGTCTGGATGTGTTCTTTGCTCTGAACAGTCTTGGCCTGATTCTAGGAAGGTGAGTGATTAGTAACTTACATGCTCAAGAAAATGTACCTTCTCAATAGTTTAGCTTCCAGAGGGAAACGGACAAGAAATGTCTTTGCATATGTCATGGGAATTTTATCCAAATTGGGACACAATCTAATGTGGGGAGAATACTGCATAGAAATGTTTGCTTGTCTTAAATTAGAGTACAAGGGTCACAAAGAGACATTAACCTACTCAAATAGAGAGTAGCGTTTGCCTACTTTATCCCCCTTCATTCTCAAAAAATGAATTTACAGAATTATTTCACTACAAAGAGGCATCCAGCTCTGCTCCATCACCAGGAAGCCTGAGTGAAGGCTAAAAGGAGTGTTTTTCTGGAAGGAATTAAAAAAAGAAAAAAGTCCTCCCAGAATTTAATCTCTAAACAGTATTATCTTTCTAGTAAGAGAGCCCAGATCTTGCTTCCCTGGAACCTTCCAAGTTGCAGTCTGTGTTCTGTCTATCAGAAATTTTTCCTTCCCACCCATGAGCACCCTTCTGTTGTGGGAGAAGGAGGGCCTTTCCAGTCTTTTGCCTGGGGCCAAGCCAACCCTCAAACTGTGGTTTTTCTCTGAGTCTTCTTGCTGTAGTATGGCTGTTTCCCACACCCAGCAAAGAAACAAGAGTCATGTATATGCTGAGTGTATGTTGACTAGGTCTTGAGTGGAGGCCAGTGCTTACACAGCTCTCTCATTCCCAGGACATTGACTAATGATGGTGCAGCTCCTATGCCTGTGTTGTTAATATTGTATATCGAAACCTCATGTTTCTTACAAATTATTAGAGAGAACTTCATCTAATTCTTCTGTCCTTTTATGAATGAATATCAGGACAGAACAATTCACATGATGGAGCAGTTCAGTTGGTGGGGCTGTAGGATTGGGGCCAGTACAGGACTCTCAGGGTGCCTGGAGAGGCTGATTTCTGCTGCTAGTTTACACACAACCATTTATATGTCTGCTTTTAACATTGTCTGAGTGTGTTCCTGGGTTTCTTCTTATCAGGTTTGATTGCTTTAATCCCATCCCACTTAGCCTTGGCTTTGGTGAAACACCTGGGGACTTGTCTACATTACCGACTCTTTGGAGTTTCAGATGGCATGCAATTATAATCATTTCATTATCCGTTCAGTGTATTACAGTATAATCACCAAACCACAAGTCGCAACCTAGAGGCCTTTTACTGTATTTGGAAAGAGTGTCTGCCTTCTGTTGTTGTATTGAGGCTTAGGCAAGCTTGAATCTGTGGTAGATTGAGAATTATTTCTAGTATCAGTTAAGATTCCGTTTGGCTGCTTATAACAGAACCCTCTCTACCACCAATAGTTTAATTAAGTTAAAAGGGTTTTTTTCCCACATAGTTAGAAATCTAGAGATAGGCTCTTGCAGACTTCATGGTGCCATCAGAAACCCATGCTCCTTCTGTCTTTATTCTCTGCAATCCTTAGCAAATAACTTTTACCCTATGCCTATCCACCTCTTGCTAGATTCCATGCTGTAGGTGGGAAGAAGAACAGGGAACATGAAAGGGCATAAGGTGTGCACCAGCCGAGTCTGCCCATTTAAAGAGCTTTCCCAAAAACTGCACCCAGAAACTTCTGTTTCCATCTCATTGTCCAGAACATATGGCATGTGTTATCCCTAGGTAAAAGAGAGGTTTAGAAATGTATTTTCTTTAGCTGGGCAAACATTATGACCCAAACAAAGTCAGAGTAGTAATATTAAGAAGAAAGGGAGAAGCGATTTTATCTAGGCAAGTGGCAGTCTCCTAGGCAGTAAGTTCTCCTAAATTATTTTATTTTATTGTTTGAAGTGAAAACTAATCTTATATAAAACATCAGTATCTAAGGTCCTACCATAAATTTTGCATTTAGGAAGGTGTGAAGTTATTTTTGTTTGAGATCTGCAGAAGGGCTGACATATTTTGTGTCTGAGTATGAGTTGGACACAAATAACACACTAGGCACTGTTTAAAGTCCAGAAAATGGTCCTTTTACAAGATTACATCTGGATATAAATACACATTTGCCTATTTTGTTGTGTAGGAATTTAGTTTTTGCTAAAAAAAAGATGAATAGTTGGGATTGGTGTTTTTATTTTTAATTTTTAATTTTTTCCATTTATTAAGCACCTTTCTACTAGTCACTGTAGGGGAAACTAAAATTAATCATATATAAATTCAGCCATTTCCAGTGTGAATCACCCAGAAGGGAGAAAAAGTACACACGTAAGTGGCTATAATACATGGTAGAATGTACTGTGATGAGTCATACAAATACATTTTTCTAAGCATTCAGAAGAGGAAAAGATTATTTCTGCCAGAGAGAATTGAGTAAATATGATCTGGGGAGCCTAAACATATGTTTCCGTTTTAAGAATTTGCTTTCACAACTAGTGAGTGTCATAAGTCTGGAAAAATATCTTGAAGAAATGCATAAGCAACTGCCATTCACAAAGGATTACTGATAGGTGGACTTCGCTGTCATCCCATCCTTTAGTTTCTCAGTAGAACTGAGGTAGGTAGAGGTTTGGGAAGGAATGGAACATTTGTTGAGTGCCTACTGTGTGCCTAGGTCTTTGCTTTATTTCAAGAAATCCTTATTGAATGCCTAGGCTAAGGTTACCTACATGATGACCTCCAAAAATCCAATGAAGTAATTTTTTTTAATTAAGCTCCTCATCTTCTAAAGGTGAAGTAATTTTAACTGCTTATGAGACAGCTCTGAGAAGTTAACTTGAAAAGATCACCCACTTTGTAAGTGACAAGGCCTACATTTGAGCTGAGGTACATTTGACCGCAAGCCATGTCTTTTCCATTTACTCTGGGTCTCTCTGCCTTTCATTGATGACCTAATCTGCTTTTCTAGCCAGTGTTGAACAGTTAATTCCTTCTTTAGCCCAATCTAATAGGAATCCTATACCCAGCTGGTTAAAACTTGGGCTTCACTTGGGTATCTTGATTTGTACTCACAGATAATGTATTACCTGCTTAAATGTTACTGGAACTAGACTTCTTTTGTCTTTTAAATAATTAGTTTATTTTTGTAATAAATAACTATATGCACGCAGTATGAAATTCAAAAGATACAAATGACATGTAGTAAAAAGTTAGTCTCCCTCCTGCCTTGACCCCTAGCTAACCAATTCTTCTCCCTGAAGGCTACCAGTTTTTTGTGTATACTTCCAGAATTGTTCTGTGCAGATACTAGGAGAGAGAGAGAGAGAGTGTGTGTACATACATATATAGATATATATGGTGTGTATGTATTCTTTTTAAAAAAAACAAAAATAGGAGCTCACTAAACTCACTGTTCTGAACCTGCTGTTTTCACTCATTATTTCATTTGTATTTACATGTTTCAGATTTTGGGGGAAAAAATTATGAATTTGAAAATATAGTTGTCACCGTGGCAACATTTATTGAATAGATGTTCTTACCAATGGCAGTTCCCTTACAACATTAAATATATAATTTAATAAAGAATATTTTGATTTCCAAGAGCTCTTAACTAACAACATTTTATCCCCTCCTCTACTACTCACCCAGGGAATTTCTTTATGGATGGCTCAGTGTAGAACTGTTCTTCAGCCCTCATTCTGATTTTTGGTCTCTTCCCATCTTGAATGAGGCACTTCCCAAACACTCCTTACACCTAACCTCAATTATTAGGATGTAGTGGTGAAAATAGAAGCCTGGGGCAGCCTGTTCCTGTGTCCCTCTTTACTTCCAATTGAGTTTCTCACACAGATTTTAAGGCCCTCAAATATGGAAACAACAGCTGCAAAGAAAGGGTTTGTTGTAGACCCTGTCCCAGAAGGCTGCCTCCTGCTGGAAGCTTTGGTTCCTTGTCCTGAGGAGGCCTGCTTTAGCAGGGTCAGGGCTCCTTGATTCTCTTGGACCATCCGGAAACCTCCCCATGTGTACATGCTCAACAGTGCTGCCCTCCTGGCTTTGCCCATGACCTTGCATCTGTCTTTGTTCCTCTTCCCCCCGCTTTTTTTGAGACAGGGTCTAGCTCTGTCACCGAGGCTGGAGTGCAGTGGTGCAGTCTTCACCCTTTGCAACCTTCACCTCCCTGGCTCAAAGGATTCTCCCACCTCAGCCTCTTGGGTCGCTGGGACTACAGGCAGGCACCACCACGTCTAGCTAATTTTTGTATTTTTTGTAAAGACAGAGTTTTGCCATGTTGCCCAGGCTGGTTTCGAACTCCTGAGCTCAGGTGATCCACATGTCTCAGCCTCCCAAAGTGCTAGGATTACAGGCATTAGCCACCGAACCTGGCTTTGTCTTTGTTCCTCTTCTGTGGATCAGAGATGGAGAAAAATTGTAGCTCTTCACTTTCTCCCTCAGGTGGTTTACACAGGTTGGGGACATCTCAGTCAGATTGGTCTGACTGAAAATGCTCAGACCCTTTACCTCTGAAATCTCTTTGTTCTTTGTCAAGCATCTCAGTGAAACACATTTACTCCACACAAGACCCCTGGATCCCCCTCTCATATCTGCTTAGCCTACGACCTTTGACACATTTCCTGAAAATGAGACATTTTATGTCATGCATATAGAAGGGTTGGTGAACATTTTACTAAAATTACCCAGTTCATCTTTTAAATCTGAAAAAATAAAATTCATAAAGGGCAAAAATAATACTAGCAAACTCTGTCTAGAAGATGAATATTTCCTAAGAGCATCTCATATTATTTCATCCTGCCTCACCATGAGTCCTTTACATGTTGTAGGTACAAATGGAAATCAATTGCCAGAAATTGTTTTAATAAAAAATACTATGTATTTTGTCAATGATGTTATTTTTCTCTTAATATTATTTCTCATTTAAAGTTTTTACAATGCATGTTGAAAGCAGTATTAATAGTATTGAAAGACTAGTAACAAAATTGAGACACAAAAAGACCATTTCTAATGAGATAAATAAGTTGTAAGAACTTTTTAAGCATCTACTTGAAGGAAGAATACTTTTACATCCTAATTATATATGTTGACATTTGTGATGTTTAGATGGTGATTTTTAGGTCTTTATTTATAGGCTTACCCTCTGAGCAAAAATATCCATTTGTCGATTGTATTCATGTAACTAGCATTTGTATAGTAATTTTACTTTGAAAGCGCTTTCAAATGTAAAATCTTATGTTAATCTTTAGGTCAACAAAGTGTTTCTAGCTAGAATTCTAAACTAGCCCTCAAGATTATAACCAGGCCTGGCTCATGGTTCCTGTCGCAGGAACCTCATCTTTCTGTATTGCTCACCATGCCTTAGCCACACTGACTCCTCCCCTTGCCTCCTGCCTGCAAACTTTCTAGAGGAGCTCAGAGTTTTGGATTGGGCAGGAATCAAGTCAAGCTGCAAGACAATTTTATTCTGTGCTCTATTTCTAGTACTTCACGCCTCGAAAGAGACATTCATTAAAAAAGTGTTGAATTTAACAATGATGGAAACTACACTGAGAGATCAGATGCTTTTCTAATTCACGCATGTGGACCAACACTTAGTATCGCAGGTGCCCTGATTCCTAGCCCAGTGTACTTTCAACAAGACCATTTCAACAATCTGCTTCAAAATATTCCCCTTCTCTGAATCTAGAGCTGCACTGGCAACATTAGAGAAGTTTTTCCTTAAAAAAAAAATTAACAGTTGTCCTTTTCTTTTTGCCCCTTGACAGGATTACAGACTAGTTACATACAGTAAATGGGTTGTGAAGGTGATGTCCATCGATCATTTTTTTCCTTTTTTTTTTGTAGGCAATCTTTGGCAGCCAGACACTACCTAACTCCAATTTATGGACAATGAATAATGGTGCAGGTTGTAGAATTTCCAGTGCCACAGCTAGTGGCCAGAAGCCAACCACTCTGCCACAAAAAGTGGTACCACCTCCAAGTTCTTGCGCCTCCCTGGTTCCCAAACCCCCACCCAACCACGAACAAGTGCTCAGAAGGGCAACATCCCAGAAAGCTTCCAAGTAAGTTTTTTTCTGTTCAATTTCTACTGAGTTTTATCAGTTCTAAGCTAATAGTACTCTTTATTTATTACTCTTCAAGACCGTTCGTACTGAAGTACTGGAAACAAGAACACCTGCTGGGAAATAAAGGCTAACCCTAGTTCTCAGCGTGGGCTACAAATTAGAATCACCCAGGGAACTACTGAAACAAGCAGATGGCAGGGCTTTACCCTGTGGGAGGGACAGGCCCTGCAGAATCAGATCTTTTCAATTTCATATAAAATTCAACATCCTGCTTCCCCTTGGTTTGTTCACTTTTAGGCATTTGAAAGGGGAGATACAGGATTGAGATTTCATCTAAGAGGATAATATAACTTCATTGACATTAGTCACCAAGCTCTGTGTAGCAACAGTGTTTTTAATACCTTTTGTAGTCTACCTGTTTACACCAAAAAGACATTTCCTTTCCTGAGTCAAATTTTTGTTAAGTCAAAATCCTTCACTGTATCTCCAGCCACTTTTTAGCCAGTGAACTAGAAATAGATTGGTGAAGAGCGTTGGTTCTAGCAGCCCTTCTTCAGTTTAAACTTGGGGAACTTTTAGAGATGTCTGGAAGAGGCACGCATTGCCTGCTGTGTTTTTGTGTCGCAGACATTTGTGTATTTCTCTTGCTGTCATTGAGGCTTCTCATTCATTTGTCCTTCGGAAGATCAATATTAGTTGTGAGAAGAATCCTAAAACATAGAAAAAGTCATTACTGTTTTTTCCTCCTTGGATGGTAAATCAAATTCTGGATTTAGATAGAAAACAATCCCTTGTGGCTGTTTTAATTATATTGCTGCCATTATTCATTTATCCAACAAATATTTATTCAGTGCCCACTAAGTACCAAGCGCTGTTCTGGGAAGAGCTGGCATTGTAATGACTGCAGAACTCTCTGGAGTAGTAGGAAAGGGCAGTAGGAAGGCTGCAGTTTGTGGTTGAATGCCAGTAGCAAAATAGGAAATGTGTGCCTTCTCACCCTGGAAATAGTGGAGTCAAATCCTTAGGTCTGCAGCCTCTGTAGCCAGACTGCCTGGATTCACATCCTCAGGCCACACTTTACTAATATGATACCTTCTGCAGGTTACAAGTTACTTAATCTCCTAGCCTCAGCTTCCTCATGTTTCCATTTGTAAAAATAAAACAATAAGAGTATCTACCTCCTAGGTCAGTTGTTAAATGTTAACAGAGTTAATATGTGTGAAGTACATAGAGTAAGGCCCGGCCCAGGTAAGAGCTCAGTAAGCCTTGGTCACCATCATATGCATTCTAAAACCACACTCTCCTTCACAGATTTGGAAAGCCCGTAGTTAACTAGGAAAATTTTTGAGCCAAATGCGAATGTTGAATTTGCCAGTGTGCCCCTTGTGGATTCTCTGATTATTGCCAGTACCCTCAGAAGGCCCTTGGTGGCCTGTGTGGCTAGCTGGTGGAGAGGTGGGCCCAGGCGGCAGGGCTGGACATTTGAAGACGCTGCTTGCTACTGCCCTGAACTCACTGCTGGCAGGAGAACTCTGCAGCCTCCTGAGATGGAATTGCAGCTCTTTGGACAGACTTTGCTTTGCAGCATTTTTGTGGTTTCTTCTTTGTGACAGGCAAGAGTGTGGGAAAACCGGAAACAGCTCAGCATCAAAAATGCACAGAAGGGGGGAAAAAGCGGAGATTTCTTCAGAATTTAAGTAATATAATCCAGGTATCAAAAGGCATGCTGTGAGGCGTTGTTCCAGGAAATAGTTTCCAATTTGCCTCTAAAACTCTAGGACAAGTCTCTGAAGCTAAGTTAATACTAATAAAGACTTGAACATTCTCTCACTTACATGTGAAATGTACAGCGTTTTGGGGACCCCAGTGTTTTCAGATATTCTCCTGACTTTTAGGAAAAAGAATAGCATGGCTTTTCATCTGAACAGTGAAAAGTTCCCCCTATGAAGTATCCTGATAAAGTTAAAAAAAAAAAAACAACTGGGCCAAGTGTGGTGGCTCACGCCTGTAATCCCAGCACTTTGGGAGGCAGAGGTGGGCGGATCACGAGGTCAGGAGATCGAGACCATCCTGGCCAACATGGTGAAACCCTGTCTCTACTAAAAATACAAAAAAAAATTAGCCAGGCATGCTGGCAGGCACCCGAGTGGTACCAGCTACTCGGGAGGCTGAGGCGGGAGAATGGCGTGAACCTGGGAGGCGGAGCTTGCAGTAAGCTGAGATCACACCACTGCACTCCAGCCTGGGTGACAGAACAAGACCCCGTCTCAAAAAAATAATTAATTAATTAAAATAAAAAAACTGGCCAGGTGCGGTGGCTCACGCCTGTAATCCCAGCACTTTGGGAAGCCGAGGCGGGCAGATCAAGAGGTCGGGAGATCGAGACCATCCTAACTAACATGGTGAAACCCCGTCTCTACTAAAAATACAAAAAAAATTAGCCGTGCATGATGGTGGGCGCCTGTAGTCCCAGCTACTTGGGCGGCTGAGGCAGGAGAATAGTGTGAACCCGGGAGGCAGAGCTTGCAGTGAGCCGAGATCGTACCACTGCACTCCAGCCTGGGTGACAGAGCGAGATCAGAGAGTTCTCACGTACCACTTGCCCAGTGTTTTTTCCATTGTTAACATCTGACATTGCCATGGGGCATTTGAGGAATGTACCATACCAGGAAACTGTCATTGGCACATTACTATGAACTAAACCCCATACTTTATTTGGACTGATGAAGTAATTTTTTTAATCTAGAGAAGCTTTTCATGGCTCTCGAAATCAGGATCCTGAGTATCAGTTGATATATTCTCACTGTTCTGTAGTAATTCTTGTTCCTAGCCAGCATAGCAAGTTACTCAACATCTCTGTGACTCAGTTTCCTATTTTAAAATGGGAATAGTAATAGTACCTGCCTCATAGGGTTATTAAGATAAATGAATTGATGAATGTCAAGCACAAATACAGTGCCTGGTATGTAATACATACTAAATCAGTGTTAGGTACTATTATGCATTTCAAGAAATTTTCATGTAAATTTTTTACTTTCTTCCTACAAGATGTGTTGCTTCATTTGCTTGGATCTTACTGTGGCCTTTACTCCGGCTCAGTTCAGATTAATCAGGAACCCTCAGTTATGACTGGTGATACTGAGTCACACTCAGGAATGCCATAGTCGCCTCAAGAGACACAACTAATGAGAAGTTGTAATGAGCTTTTGACCATGCCAAGCCCTGTGTTTTTGGGTTGAACTTCAAACTTCTTCTAGCACAGAAGTTGGCATTAGACAAATATAGAAGCAATTTCCAAGAGCATCAAAGTTTCCACATCCTAGAGGGTTGAGTTTTGAGTTTAGAGAAGAATAGAACGTTAAAGATGGAATGTCACTTGGATTTTGGTGCAAAGGGAGTTGAGAATCAGAACAGTGGGGTCCTGTTTCTTTATGATAATACTCAAGTTGCTTTCCCTCTAAAGGTTTCATTTTACCATCTGTAAAACGAAACCCACTGTCCCTACTGAATAATTAACCAAAATGACTTGTTTTCTGTCTATTCCATTGAAAGCTTTTTTATGAGCACATTTGCTCTTTAATCCTGATGCTTTCAAGCCATTTTCCTCAGCCCCTCTTGTCCCAGCAGTTCTTTGTTGTAGTTCTCAAATTCATATACTTGTATTTCATTTAGCTAAATCTCATTTGTCAGTTCTGTGAAGGGAATGATTTAAAATTTTTTTTTTTACCATTTTCCTGGTGCCAATAATCTTTCTTGATTTTCTTCTCCAATGTTTGCAACACTTCATAATTTAGTACCCGCTTCAGATCCTCCTTTCAAAACTATTTGTGGTATTTCTTCCAAGCAGTCAGCTGAACTGAGGACGACAGCCTACAAACAACTACATGCATCTGAACTGTCTCTTGTAAATGAGCTTTTTTCAGAGCCAGAATCATACTCTCCAGGAAATATGGAGAAAGAAACCTGAGGAGATTGAAGTTTGCCAGGCACAAGGGCAAAACTCAGACTGAATGAATTTGAAAGGGTGGGGCCAAAGATGTTGTAACCTGGGAGACTTCTCTGAAGAAAGAAAACTGTTTAAGAAACACAGACTGAACTGCAGTACTTTTCCTTAAATAGCTGAGATGACCTTCTTTACCCTGGGCTTAGGTGATTCTCATCAGGGTGACCTGAGTGGAAGTTGGTGGTAACGACTGTTCTGTGTCAGCACCCAGGACAGTGGTGTCTGTTAAGGCTGCCAGGGATTAGCAGGGAGGAAAGCCATCAGGACTGGGTAGCCTGGTAGCACCAAATCCCAATTAATGTTACCTGAACATGTGGTGAGGTCAGCCGTATGATGAAAGATGTTTAAGAGATTAATGTCAGAAGAATATGAAAATAAACACCGGCTTAAAAAATGTTATATCTTTTTAACATATGAGTCATTAAAGTGAGAAGATTTAAGGGCAAAGTAATTAGGACTTAATAATTGTCCAAAAGTTCTTGAGGTGAGCATAGAAGATACCATATTGTGTGTTAACCATGTTCTGCCAGCTTTTTATTATGTGCAGTTTCAAGAAACATAGTTGAATCTATAACATATTCATCCTTAATACAGGCTTCTCTACATTATGCATTTCCAAGGTAGGTAATTATAAAATGTTTTTGGTAGAAGATAAAGGGATGGAGGCATAGTTGTGGGGATATGAGTACAACAAGGTACGCAGGTGTTCAGTGGCTGAGCTCAAACTGGAACTTATATGACCCGCTGTGCTCACCTCAGACTCTTCCCCCTACATCACTGATTTCAAAGGTCCCTGCCAATCTATTCATCTATATCTGTCTGTACAGCAAATGGCAGATCAATTATCCTAAAATATTGCTTTTGAAGAAAATACAATGTATGCACTTAGGAACTCACTCCTCTCTTTTTCCATACCAGTTTTACCACTTAAATGACCAGGAAATACTGAAAATGAAATACTCAAAAGGAGGAAGAATTAATGCCACTCGTATTAGAGGTGCTGGGGGAATTTCTTTTAGATGTAGCACAGGAAGACTGGATTGAAGAACAACATGGAGGGCTTTTGTATAGTGTCTTCTGGGAGAGTGCATTCTAGGAAATGAAAGGGAAACCTGGAATACTGCAGACAATAATACCCTCTGACTCTGAGGGGCAGGGCCTGAGGGTAGAAAGGACATGAGCGCCAGTCAGGAGCTCTGCCACTTAGACTCTCTGTCTTCTAGTAATCCTCGTCATTTGGACCTCAGTGGTGGCATTAGGAGGTCTCTGGGGTTGCTTTTGGCATGGACAGTGACGTCAGTCAGAGGGATGGGTGCTACAACCACACCTAATCAAAAGTTGCGTGATGGTGTGTGTCTCATTGGGGAGGAAAGCTACATGAGAGTCATGGAATGATGGGTCTTCCCTTGCTGATTCATATTGGCATAATTTAAATTAAAATCCGACTTCTCATGCCTGCCTCCTGGGATGTTAAAATGGTTGTCGAAATGGTAATATAACTGCTGGATATTTCCCATCCCTCACTTCCCTCGTCCTTCACCTGAGTATGAAAACGCTTTTTTAAAAGATTTTGGCAGGAATTTATGCTAACCTCTGACAGAATCCATCCACATCAGTTTCTCCGTGAATATAAGCCCTTGGCAAATTTAGACCTTCTTTAAGGATGAGCAAATACTGGAATATCTTGGGGCCTGGCAATAGGTGGTATAGCTTAAAAGAAGGCTTCAGTTGGGCACAGTGGCTCAGGCTGGGCATGGTGGCTCATGCCTGTAATCCCAGTGCTTTGGGAGGCCGAGGCGGGTGGGTCATGAGGTCAGGAGTTCGAGACCAGCCTGGCCAACATGGTAAAAGCCCGTCTCTGCTAGAAATACAAAAAATTAGCTGGGCATGGTGGCAGGTGCCTGTAATCCCAGCTACTCAGGAGGCGGAGGCTGGAGAATCGCTTGAACCTGGGAGGCAGAGATTTGCAGTGAGCTGAGATCACACCACTGCACTCCAGCCTGGGCAACAGAGAGAGACTGTCTCCGAAAAAAAAAAAAGAAGGCTTCATGGAGAAGATTCAGAGGCTTCTAACCTCTGGAATGAGTTTAAGCAAGAAATAATAACATTTTAGAAAATACCTAATGTGTATTCTTAACAAAATGTAAGAGTAGAGAGCATCTGTGTGGAGAACTAGACAAAGCTATCATATAAAAGGAGCAAGGGGCCTGCAGTCAGGGAGGATTGCACAGAGATGAGAACTACGTAAGTGAAAAATTGGGCTGAACACAGTGAATAGAAATTGGCCACTGCAGAAAATTGAATTCGCAAACTAAAAGACAAATGCCAAAAATTTGAGGAGGAAGTATACAAAGATAAAACTGATGACAGAAAAGACAGATTCAACCTAAAATAACAAATTCCAGAAAGAGAATAGAAATAATAGTCAGTAGTATAGGCAAAAAAGACCCAAGATAAGGACATAAAGGGATTAGTTAATAAGATTAAATCAATAGATACATAACTTTGTGCCCTACAGAGATCTTGTGGAATAGTTTTCTAAACTGGAACGTTTCAATTAAGTCCTCAAAAAGTAGAAATTATACATGCCTCATTCTCAGACCACTTTACAATAAAATGAGATATTAAATATAAAGGCTGGGTGCGGTGCCTCACACCTGTAATCCCAGCACTTTGGAAGGCCGAGGCAGGTGGGGATCACCGGAGGTCAGGAGTTCTAGACCAACCGGGCCAACATGGCAAAACCCCGTCTCTACCAAAATATACAAAAATTAGCCAGGCGTGGTGGCATGGCTCCTGTGGTCCCAGCTACTCAGGAGGCTGAGGCATGAGAATCGCTCGAGCCTGGGATGTGGAGGTTGCAGTGAGCCAAGATTGCGCCACTGCACTCCAGCCTGGGCAACAGAGCGAGACTCTTAAAAAAAAAAAAAAAAAAAGAGGAAGGAAGGAAGGGAAGAAGCGAGGGAGGGAGGGAGGGAGGAGGTCAGGCAAAGATATACTCAAAGGTAATCTGTCAAAGAAGGAAGGAAGGGAGGGAGGGAGGGAGTCAAAGATGTACTCAAAGGTAAATTCATAATCTTCATCATTTTCATTACTAAAATACTGAAAGATGAAAAAGAAATTAACCAAGATACAAATGGTAAATTGGCTTCAATAGATAAACTGGCTTCAGGTGATTGCCCAGTGTTGTTTTGGAAAGACCCATGAGGACTTCCCTGAGCTCAGCAAAAAAGAGTGCTTTGATAGGTTAGTAGCATCCGCCACACATAGGGAAGATGCTGAGAGTCGTGAATAGGCCGCATATTTGTCATAACTGAAGTAAGCTTTTATCACATGAAGTTAGAAAAGGAACCATAAAACAAAGCTAAGAAAAACAGATTTAAGGAAATTAAGAAGAAAAGTAATATAAAGTGAAAAGCAAGCAGTAAAATTAGTTAAGTTCAAAACCTTATTTAGTTTGGGTCAGGGGAACCCAGAAGAAGAAAATAAACATACTTCTGCCAGAAGAATAAGAGCAGTAAACATAAGAAAAATACTTTAAAAGTAGATATAGAAGAGACTGAAAAATTAGGAGAACACGGCACACTATGTACAATTTTAAAAACTAGATGAAAGATAATATTTTGAAAAATATCAAGTATAAATTGGTTCTTCTTGAAGAAAAAGAAGATTTAACTAGAACATAGAACAAGTGGAAATTTTCAAACTGCCTAAATTGGTTCTTCTTAAACACATGAGTAGGCCCAGGAACCATTTTTAAAAATCGTCTCCAAAATAGTTCTTCAAACTATTTTTCTGAAATCTTTTTTGTTTTTGTTTTTGTTTTTTTGAGATGGAGTCTCGCCGTGTCACCCAGGCTGGAGTGCAGTGGCGCGATCTTGGCTCACTGCAGCCTCTGTCTCCCAGGTTCAAGCGATACTCCTGCCTCAGCCTCCAGAGTAGCTGGGACTACAGGCATGCACCACCAAGCCCAGCTAATTTTTTGTATTTTTAGTAGAGACGGGGTTTCACCGTGTTGCCCAGGGTGGTCTTGATCTCCTGACCTCATGACCTGCCCACCTCAGCCTCCCAAAGTGCTGGGATTACAGGCGTGAGCCGCTGCACCTGGCCCATTTTTCTGAAATCTTTGGAGGCTTCCAGGTGCGCACAAGATAAAGTTGAGAGTCCTGACTCTGACATTCAAGCCTTCTGCAATATGACCTCTCTCCTGTCTCCTGCCTTCTTCATACTCTATCACCGCTTTGCACACAGACTGTTCCACACACATGCTTCCCATTCTTTGTTCCTACATATCCATGTCATCTCTGCAGAGTGCCCTTAGGCCTCTTGAACCTAAGTCCTGCCTTTAATTCAAGATTGGGTTTTAGTGTCTCACCTTGGTGCATCCTTCCCAGCTGCCCCTTCGTCACCTCCTCATCTGACTCTGCCATCTACCTCCTGGTTTTATTTTTCCTTTTTTCATATGTTCTGCTTTCTATAGCTCTCTCAAAGACAGATACCCTGTCTTCACCCTTTCATCACATATATATTGAATGTCTGTTTTGCTCAACATTGCCCTAGACAGCAGTGTCCAATGGTGATAACACCAGTGGACAAGACAGATCAGATCTCTGCTTGCATGGTTTGTTTTTGAGAGAAGGGATAAACTCATTCCCAGTGCCTGAGATAGCTTATATTCGTAAGTTCTCAGCAAATGGCAGTGGTGATGGTGGAGATGGAAGTGGTGGAGATAGTGATGGCAGTGGTGGTGGTGACATGGTATTCTGTGTCAAGTCATATGCATCAAAGATCAGTAAATAACAATGATCTCATTATTTATGCCTTGTAGAGTAGCGTATGGGAGACAGTAGAGTACAGTTGTTAATAGCCTGGAATTTGAAATGGGATTCGGATTCTGGTTCCTTGGCTTAACTAACTTTTCTAGAGATAGCACTAAGCTTCTGTTTCATTATCTATAAAATATCACTTATGTCTTGGAGTTGTTCATAGGGTTAAATGAGATAATGTGTTTCCCTGACATATATTGCATCCAATGTCTGCTGGTCAGCGTAGTTGTATTCTGCAGCTGCTCTTGTTTCCTACTAAAAGAAATCACATTTGTTTTGTTGGTAGGTTGTTATTTATAAGTGTGATTTGGTTCTGCTGGTGAGCCTGTGGAAATTTAAACATATTCTGATTTCCTCAACACTAATAACTCTAAAGGCAATTGAAGACAAAGGCTCAGTTTCAAACAAAAGAAAAAATTAGATTTGGAGTTACTGACTTCCAGGCCAGTTGGCTCCCAAAGTTCACACTTTCACATCCATTTCCCCCCTGTGCTGCAAATACATAGCTATGATGGATGAACATTTAAAGAAGAAAACCTACGGGACTTAGCTGTGCTTCAAAACAAGGCACATATCTCCTTGGCCCCAAAATATACCAAAATAAACGAGAATCAATGAATGAAGCTGAAGCTACAGGCTTTCTGAAGCAGGCAGTGGCAAGCTCCTGTGTCATATTGGGAGCTGAAAGTGCCCTACAAGAGGAGAACCTAAAGCCACGCTCATTACTTGAAAATAATTGATTTTCAACCTGGGACAGTTTCCCCCCCAGGAGACATTTGGCAATATCTGGAGACATTTATACTTGTCATAACTGGGGGAGTGCGACTGGCATCTAGTGGGTAGACTCTACAGATCCTGCTGAGCATCCTGCAAAGCGCAGAACAGTCCCTCACTACAAAGAATTATCCAGCCCAACATGTCAGTAGTGGCAAGGTTGAAAACCCTGCACTGAAGGATGCAGTGTGCCCTCCTAATGGGAGAGTAGTAAAACTGGCATGAACCGACTAACTGAGTCTGTCTTTATATGAGACTATGGGCCTTACAGAGTCAGGAAGGCAATGACATACCCTTCCAACTGTTCCTGTCTCAAAACTGCCTTTGGTTTCTAAATATCACTGAGGCAAGTGCCCCAAAATGCCACCATAATGCCTGGTTTGGGGCTGGTGTCAGGGGTCTGGGTGAAGGCAACTATATAATCTTCAGACACGGAGGAATGAGCAAGCACAGAGACCAGGGCGGGGAATGATTCCCATTCAAAATAAGCCCGCAAACCAAAATTCCAAAACACATGAAAAAATCTAATTCTAAGAAAGATTGCCAGGAAAATCAAGAACTGGAACGTGAATTCTTTACAGATAAATTAATACTTTAAAACAGTCAGACATGTTAGATCATGTGTCTAATAGGAGTATCTCGTGGAACATGATATGTGACTCTGATAGGAGTATCACAAAAAAGACCTAAAGGATAATTGGACAAGCAACGCTTTTAGAAAATGACAGAATTTTCCAGAATTGAAGAAGACATGAGTCCTCAGCTAAAAAATTCATTCATGTACCAAAATAAATGTACCTCTAGACACATCATAGTAGCAAGAAACCAGAACATTAAGCGTAGAGAGAAGTCTAAATATTACCAGGGAGAAAATCTGCGTAAATGACAAAGGAACACAGAGTACCAGCATTCTTCTCCTCAGCAATAATGAGTGCTAGAAAACAGTAGCCAATTACTTCGAAGTGTTGATAATAAACTTTCAGTCTAGAATTTTATACATAGCTAAACTGGCATTCAAGAGTGAAGGCGGCTGGGCACAGTGGCTCACGCCTGTAATCCCAGCACTTTGGGAGGCCGAGGTGGGCGGATCACGAGGTCAGGAGATCGAGACCATCCTGGCTAACACGTTGAAACCCCATCTCTACTAAAAATACAAAAAATTAGCTGGGCGGGGTGACGCACGCCTGTAATCCCAGCCACTCAGGATGCTGAGGCAGGAGAATTGCTTGAACCTGGGAGGCATAGGTTACAGGGAGCCAAGATCGTGCCACTGCACTCCAGCGTGGGCAACAGAGCGAGACTCCATCTCAAAAAAAAAAAAAAAAAAAAAAATAGTGAAGGCAAAATAATTTGAGACATTCAAAGTCTAAGAGTATACCTGAAATTCAAACTAGGAAATAGTAAAGACTGTATAGAGATAGAAGTGAATCCAGAAGTATTAGGCAACAAGAAACAATGAAATACAACAAATCCGTAAAATGTCAATAAATGTTAATGACTATAAAATAATTATTGGTCTTTAAGAAGATGAAAACCATTTAGAGATAACAAAGATAAGATACAGGGACCTAGAGTATTTAACTGATAAGGGTCCGTGTCGACTTTGAGGTCAGGACAGAAATACTGAATGACTTTACACTTAGGAAAAAATAGCTAAATAATTAAGATGCAGGCTGTAGTGTTCAAACCAATAGAGCAGGGAAAGGGAAATGTAGATACTTTATTAATTCAGTGGAAGATAGGAAAGTTAGAAGCAAAGGAGGCTGGGCGCAGTGGCTCATGCCTGTAATCCTAGCACTTTGGGAGGCCAAGACAGGTGGATCACCTGAGGTTAGGGGTTCGAAACCAGCCTGGCCAACATGGTGAATCCCCATCTCTACTAAAAATACAAAAAATTAGCTGGGCGTTATGGCGCATGCCTGTAATCCCAGCTACTCGGGAGGCTGAGGCAGGAGAATCTCTTGAACCCAGGAGGCTGAGGTTGCAGTGAGCCGAGATCACACGCCACTGCACTTCAGCCTGGGCGACAGAGCAAGACTCTGTCTCAAAAAAAAGCAAAAGAAAAGGATGATAAATAGAAAACAAAAACTAAGATAGTAGAAATGAGTCCAAATATACAAGTAACCAAAATAAATGTTGACAAATTAAACTCTTCCATTAAAAAAGAGATGATCAAATTGCATCTTTTTAAAAACTTAAGTTATTGGCTACATGAAAGAGACATACATAAAGTAAAATATCAACAAAAGATAGACAATAAAAGGTTGGAAAAGAGCAATTATGAAATACTAATCAGAAGGAAAACTGGTATAGCAATATTAATGCCAGATAAAATATAGCAAAAATCACTAAGGAATAAAGAAAAGCACTTGTATGCACTTAACATCATAAACTTAAAAATATAGAAACCAAAAGCTGACAAAATTATAAGGAGAAACTTGCAAATCATTAATATTAGTGGGTAATTTATTTGAATATACTTCTGTCAGTAACAACTCAAAAATTACTGAAGACTTGAATATTTGAAATGCAGAATTAACATTTTGCTTTAATAAGTGGGTTTTCATCTTTTTGGACCAGCACTTAAAATAGAAAATACATTTTAGGGGCACATGTTCTCAGGACTTCCTGAGGGGTATGTCATGGGCGAAATGATCTAAAAAAAGAAAAAACATTTTATATGCAACCCAGCAAAAATACTTATCTATATGTATGTGTGTATGTGCAATTAAAATTTCACTAAATACTGTCTTCTATTTTTTAACGCTGATTCTGAGCCCTGAAATTCATTTTACAACCCAATTATGAATCACAGCTCACAGCCTGAAAAGCAGTTACAGCTATGCATGGACTCCTGCACTCAATGGTATTCGAGTATATGTGGAATGTTTATAAAAATTCAGCACATACTATGTCACAAATGAAGGCTCCGTGCACTTCAAAATATCAATATCAAACGGTTCACACTCTTCAACCACAAAGCACTTAAGTTAGAAATAATAAAAAGAGGTTTTTTTTTAAAAAAAATCCATGTGTTGGAAATTTTAAAAAAATAGAGTACCTATTACTCATGCATTAAAGAGATAATCATAATGAAAATTATAAAATATTTTAAACTGTATGGCTCTAAAAGTACTACACATCAGATTTGTGGAATAACCAAAACTGCACTCAAAAATAAACTCTTAATACATTTATTTAAAAGACAAGAAGGATTAAAAATAAGTGAGTTAATTGTTTAATTCGAAAAGCTATGAAAGGACAACAGAGTAAACTAATTAAAATATAGAAAGGAAAAAAATACAGAAATCTACAACAGTCAGGTGCATGGCAGAACATTAGAGAACAGTGCTTCCAACTGTATCTGGCATGTGGTAGGGGGTCATTAAATACTTGTTGAAGGAACGAATGAAATTGACAAGTACTGGGATGGCCTCTGGAAAGACTAATGAATAAAAAGAGAAAAGGGCCTACTCAGGAATGAAGAGGACTATAACCAGAAATACGGGGGAATAGATAATATGCAGTATATTTATAAAATGGAGTCCTGAGTGCCTTTACTGCACAAAAGTTGACTTCACTAAATGTTTCATGATTTGGTTTTGGAACCTGACCCTAATTAATAATGTTCTAATTGTTATTTTCTAAGGATTAGCATTAACTTCCATTTCAGAATCATAAACCCTAGACTGAGAGATAAAAGGAAGAAGCAGCGTATACCTGTGTGTGTGTGGATATGTCGAAAATTGTAGGCTACTTACTATGAGTAAATGTTTGGTAGGAAAAGTCAGGGTATGTATTTTTTGTTTTGTTTTGTTTCTTTTTTCTTGGGAATTGAAAGAGGTTGGTTATTGCTGTATTTTATAAAAACGATCAGGTTTGGGGGTGTTTGTTTTCAGCACCTTCACAGATGCAGCCATGTCTGTTTTGCCACAGCCCTGGTAAGATCAGCATTTGTAGCTTTGCTCTTCCTGTAAAATCTTGAGCATTTTCCTTTTGTGAGTCCTTCCTTCTACAGAAAGGTCATCTCTGATGTGGTGGCATGAGTCCAAGATAAACTTATACTAAACCATTGAAATAGAAAAC
Source organism: Homo sapiens (assembly GCF_000001405.40). Taxonomy (NCBI): domain Eukaryota; kingdom Metazoa; phylum Chordata; class Mammalia; order Primates; family Hominidae; genus Homo; species Homo sapiens. The sequence continues at coordinate 75,896,595 of NC_000014.9, forward strand.
TAGTACCCCTGTGTTGGGGATGTGGAAAGCCTTGAAAAGAACCCAAACAGAAATAATATAGCAGCAAACCACAGTCAACCTTGTGAAGTAATGAACAAAACAGACCTTAAAGAAAGCATATCGCTTTCAGAAAAGTTTCCACTGATCAAAATAATGGGCAAAAGAAGAACAGAGGAAACCACAAATAAAGAAATGAAGATCCACGAAAAACATGTCAGAAACCTTACCAGCAAAAGGGATGGTGGGGCTATTGCTCATTATAACCCTCCTGGACTGGGTTTTATGTATAAATATATGTTATATAGTTATATAGGCTGGCTATATGGTGTGGTCTTGATGCCAGTGGAATTCCTAGCCAGCCAGTTGATTGGCTTATATTCCTTAAATAGAGACTTGTACTAGAAAAAATTTTTCAAAATAATTAATACAGGATGTAATATCCCTATAAGATGAAATACAGGCATTTCATCTTACAAGGATATTATTTGTTTTTAATGCATCTTTGAACAACTTCTTTGAAAGGCACAGGAGAGCTGTTCCCTCAGAGTAGGAATAATGCTCATTTGAGGTGCTTTCTCAGACCTCAGAAAAATGGCAGAGGCAAGATGAGTAGATAGATGTGAAGCAAGTGAGTCAAATTCAGGGTTAGGAAGTGTACATGTAATATTTAGGTAAACTCTTTAGCTGCCAGCTGTGAACATGTCCCAAGGAAAGAGATTTTGCCTTCATAGAGAGGAGCATGCGACTGTTCATTGAGTTCTTCGAATTCTTTGTTGCTACTATATGTGGTCATGTGTCTTATTATAGTTTTTAAGTGGCTAAATTAATCAGGCAGTGTGCTCTTAAGCAGTTTTTATTTTATTTTATTTTTATTTATTCATTTATTTATTTATTTTTTGAGATGGGAGTTTCACTCTTGTCACCCAGGCTGGAGTGTGATGGCGCAATCTTGGCTCACTGCAACCTCTGCCTCCTGGGTTCAGGTGATTCTCCTGCCTCAGCCTCCCAAGTAGCTGGTTTTACAGGCATGAGCCACCACGCCTGGCTAGTTTTGTATTTTTAGTAGAGATGGGGTTTCACCATGTTGGCCAGGCTGGTCTCAAACTCCTGACTTCAGGTCTTCCTGCCTCAGCCTCCCAAAGTGCTAGGATTACAGGTGTGAGCCACCGCACCTGGCTTAAGCAGTTTTTAATAATCATTGACAGTTTATCCTCAGAGAAGAACCTAAATAAGACCATTACCAGAGCTGAGATTGTAGTAAGCTTCTTACTCTCAACCTTTCACTACATCAAGCAGCTTTCCATCTCCTAGACAGTTGTACCATTTCCAAGAAGAACAATTAAGGACTAGATATTCACATCTATCACTCTTCTCATGTTTGAACTCTAACTTTTGTGTAGTGTAAAGTTAATGGCACCTTTTGTCCCATCTTTTCAGTATTTCTCACTGTCAAGCTCTTGATACTTCTATAACTCCAGTTTTTCTAACTTCATCTTTAGCCACTTCTTTATATTCTGGTGTACTATGACCAGAGAACATCAGATAATGGAACTGTATCACACACATATTTAACTTTATACATTCAGCTATTCAGAGAGAAATTGATTGTAATTTCAACAAAGTGGCTGATTCCAATTGATTTTACACTTAGGATAAGATGGGAGAAATATCACTCCAGTCAGTCAGTTTCAGTTCCCGTGGGACTTTCTTATAGCAAGGGCATCCCACTGCACTCTTATTCTCACGCTTAAAGATACATATTTTAGGCCAGGTGCAGTGGCTTATATCTATAGTCCCCGCACTTTGGGAGGCCAAGGCAGGCAGACCGTGTGAACCCAGGGGTTTGAGAGCAGCCTGGGTGACATGGCAAAACTCTGTCTCCACAAAAAATACAAAAATTAGCCAGACCTGGTACCACACGCCTGTAGTCCCAGCCACTTGGGAGGCTAAGATAGGAGGATCACCTGAGCCCAGGAAGTTGAGGCTGCAGTGAGCTGTGATTGTGCCACTACACTCCAGCCTGGGTGACAGAGTAAGACCCTGTCTCAAAAAAGTAAAAATAAAAATACATAGTTTATACAACATGATCCCATAATACAAGCCTACTTTTCTAAATACAAACCTACTTCATTTGGTGCACAGTTGAATAAATCATTCTGACACTGGCAGAAAAATACATATTAGATTTATTAAGAGATAACCTGTCAATCTCAAATGTGGCGTCTCTTCCTAAGGGATCTTAAGAATAATTTTTACTATGAGATTTTTGTCTTATAGGCTGCCAGTTAATTACCTTGTAACTTTAATAGCAAATTGCTGTTAACTTCCAGGTTCAGAATGCCTATGGCCATTCTTCTGTAGTTTAGCACTAATATTTCAGACTGATGTTGGAGTCAATGAGTCATTCAATTTGATATTTCTGTATGTAGATAGACTTATAGTGAATGCAGAGAGTGTTAAGCAGTATTGCTAAGTAAAAAATGACAATACTACTACTAGTAATAGTTCATGTATATTTAGTCCATAATATAACACCAGTCACTGCTTAGATGTGCTTTATATTCACCATCTTACGTAGTCTTCAAAAGCCTATAAGGTAGGTCTTGTTATCCAGGTGTTAAACCATAGTAACTGACTTAAAGACAACCAAGGGAACACATACATACCTCCCAACGTAAATATTTCCTAAAACACATGTATTCCTAGGAAAGCAGCAAAGAATCATTGCAGGGGCAAGTGCAAGTTGACATGCAGGCTCTAGACAAGCTGAGTTTCAAAAGTTCTCATTTAGGGGAAGGTTGTCCAGAAGTTGGAATATATTTTCCCAAGGAAATGATGTTATCACAACAAAAGCATATTTACCCATAATGTGCCTAAAGTAGTAATAACAGACCTAAACCATTTTGTGTACCAGTGTTTCCATGGAAAAATTCACTCAAAAGTTTCCCCTTGGATTGCTGTGGACACATTTCTACATCACAGGGAGAATGGGGACTCTATGCTAGAAGCAGTAGAATCATTAGAAGTGTTCAAATTCTGAATCTGTGGTGGTCTCCAAGGCCTTTGATGGGAGTTGATGGGAGGGAAGAGGATGGAAGAGTGAGTGAAACTGGGAACCAGGGACCATAGGGTTAGAGGATCTTCAGTAAAGAACGGGATAAAGCCTAAGAAGGTGAAGGGTGGATTGGGGGTTCCAGAGAGGAGAGGGAAAAGTTTCAAGAGTTTTAAAGACCCAGAATTCATTGAGTCTAAGCCCCCAGGGACTCTTCTCATCCCTCAAGCAGTTTTCTATTATTCACTACCAGTTTCTACTACTGACCCAAAGATTTTGCCGGCTTCTTCCCTTTTTTTTTTTTTTTTTTTAAACCACTAATACTTTGTGAAATTGAGACCAGCCCAGGGCTTTGCTCCACTCAGCTGCTCCTAAAGCAAGCACAGTGGCTCTAATGGTTTTTAACTTCTGTAAAGGAAAGAGCTTATCTTAGGCCCTCCAGAACTTTTTCACTTGGACATGGAAGAGCAAACATCATCTACAGATGCTTTGGGAGAGTTTTTGGGTCCCATAAGGGGCTGAAATAAAATGCGTGAGGATTTCCGATGTGGCTGTCCAAGGCCGAGGCTGATGGGAAAAGGGAGAAGCTCTCTGCCCCTTTCTCTCCTGCCTCTGTGGCTCCCTTGTCCTCAAAATGAAAGTGGAAAGGAGAGGGTAGGCCCCAAATTGCTTGCCAGAGGGGAGGGGCTATGAGACAGTCTGATCCTTGCGCCAATGCTGGGCTAGAATCTTCTCAAGCGGCATGTCTCTTTCAGGGTTGTAGGGACTGTGTGGGCACCTCAGACACCACCTGACTCTCCAGGTGCACCTCATACCACTTTGCTCTTTACCTACTAGCCAATGATGATATGAATCACCTGGGCACCTGGGGCACTGTCCCCAGGCTCACCTGGAAAGCTGTGTGATTAACAAGTGACCCCAGGTCATTCCTGTCAAAGACATTCAGCAAACACTGCCTGACTGTCCCCACCCCTATCCTATCTCCTTAGCTGGTCTTTAAAGGTTCCTGGGACATTCCAAGCCCCTTTCTGCCTCAGAGTCATTATATATGCAATTTCCTCGTGAAACGCTCTTTCCTCTCCCTCCTCCTGGCTAATGCCTACCTCTCCTAACTTCATGACTCCCTTGAAATTATTTCCACAGAAAGACCATCCTTGACCACTGTTCTCATCATCTAAACCAGGTTCCCCTGCCTCGTTCTCATAACACTGTGTGCTTTTTCTCTTTAGCATTTAGCACACACTTTGTGTTTTATGTACGTGCTTTAACGTATCTCCTCACTAGTACAGAACACAGGAAATGCTTGATAAATATTTCTTGTGTGAATGACTGACTGGAAAAATAGTGTCGGGAGAGAGATACTAAAGGTTGGGTTGGATGTTGCTCAACAAAAACAAAGAACTGAGCATGTTGAAAGCTTTGATCTCTCAGGTACAACTTTTACACATCAACTAAAATCAAGGCAGATAGACCCAACAAAAATATTATATTATAAATATACAACAAAAATATTACAAATATTTCAAAAAAATTTATAAATATTTGATGTGTGCAAAATGCAGCAGCAGTGAATAAGACCAATACAATCTCTGTCATTATGGAGCTTACATTCTAGCAAGGGTGATGGATACTAAGCAACCAGTTACACAGTTTCATAATTATAATTTTGAAAAATGCAAAGAAGGAATTAGAGCTGTAAGCGCCTTTAACAGGGAGGCTTGACTTGGGCTGTAGGGCATCAGACTAGTCCTAGGATTTCTGAGACATATGGCTAGGGAACCTCTGCCCAAAGAATCAGATATACTCTGTCATATCTCTTGTCAAAGTTGGCATGAGGGGAGATGCTGTGTACATTTCTCAGTCTTGCGATTATTGACACCATGGAGTAGATAATTCTTTGTTTGGGGCATTTTCCTGTGTGCTGTGGAATGCGTAGCAGTATTCCTGGCCTCTGCCTGCTAGCTGCCAGTAGCACCCCACAGTTGTGATAACCACAGATGTTTTGACATTGTTGGGTGTCCCTGGTTGGCTCAGGGGACACATAATCTCTCCTTCCCCACTTCCCCAGTTGAAAACCACTCTTCCACATGAGACTTGCTTTTTTAAAAATGTGTTTTCATATGATTTAGGTAAGTCAATGCCAGAAATATAATTTTTTCCTTCAATAAACAACTATTTATTGAGTACTTGTTATGTGTCAGGCACTATTCTAGGCACTGGAGACACAGCAATGATGAAGGCCCATGCTTTCTTGATACTACATTTCAGTAGGGAGAAATTAACAATAAATCTCAAAATATATACTATTTCAGAAGTGTGGAGGTTTGTCATAGAGTCTTCTCTGATAAGGTGACATTTGAACAAAGCCTTGAAGGAAGTGAGTGAATGAGCCACAGGAGAAGCAGCACCAAGAGCAAGAAGCGAAGCCATCAGAGGTCCTGCACCTGACCTCACCTTTCCGCCTGCAGGTCTGACCAAGCTCCTTTGTGTTTCAGAGGGTCCTCCGCGGAAGGGCAGCTGAATGGACTCCAGAGCAGCCTTAACCCTGCAGCCTTTGTGCCCATCACCAGCTCTACAGGTTAGTGGGCACCAGCTCTTCTGCAACTGGATAGATGACAGGGAAGGTGTTGGGCTTGGCACATTCTCTCTTCTGCCTCCAAAGAGAGCCCCAGTTCAAAGAATGAAACATCTAGCCTCTCAAAACATTGGCAAATGGGCATTTTTGTTGCATTCTTCTTTAAAATAGTCTTGGCAGCCTAAAATAGGCATTTTCTGGAACTAGCTTGGGGTAAATGAAACCTCGCCATCTTATAAAATGCTGTCAGATTTGCAGCATTTAATACAGATGTCCCATATTGACTGGTATTTCACTGTCTATGTTGTATTTCCGCATGTTGTATCTCTCACTTAATTCTCACACAGCCCTGTGAGTTTGATCTTATCCCCTCCACATGAGGAAACAGGCTCAGAAAGTTGAGGGCTTGTTGAAGTTTATGCGTGGATGCAGAGCTGGAGCTCTGGTCTTTGATCTACGTGTTGTGCTAATGCCATGGTCTGTGGACAGGTTGTTACTGACAGCCTGAAGCCTCTCAGTGTAGGTGCATACAGATAAGTTAGGCAGTGTTGGTCCAGAGATAGTTTCTATGAATAATAATTAATAAAAATGAACTATTAAGTCAGAAAATTGAACAAATATTTATTATTGAGTACCTACTCTAGAGAAAATAACATGCTGGGCACTGAGATACACACCGGGTGAACAAGACAGTCTGCTCTTAGGGAACTTTAAAGGAGATAGAAAAGTCAGCAGGGAATGTGCTGCAAAGTGGGTATTATTGCATGCCTGAGACACATAGAATAACAACAGACTACATTGACTGAGGATTTGCTATGTGTCAGGCACAGTTCTGAATGCTTTATGTGTAATAACTCACTTGTTCACTGAACAGGCACATAATGTAGGAACTATATTCCCCATTTATGGCTGAAGAAATAAAGGCACAGGCAGATTATCAAACTTGTCTGAAGTCTCACAACTAGTAAGCAGTGGGGCATATTTGAACCTAAGCAGTCGAGCCCAGATCTCTAGGGACTGGGAACGGCTTCCTAGAGGAAAAACATCGAAGCTGACACTGGAGTGTGGACGAGTCAGCCAGGAGAGGAAAGGCACAGGTGGAAGGAGTTCTAGGAAGAGGGAACAGTGCAAGCAAAGACCGGGGGGAAGTGAAAACGTGCTGTGTTCCACAGGCTTCCATGGATCAGTGTGGCTGGGGACTGGGGCATGAGCAGGGAGTGGAAGGGGAAAAGGTTGTGAGGTAGTAGGGCCATTTTATGAGCCATGTAGGGAACTTGGTCATTGCCCTGACAGCAATAAGGAGCCATCGAGGAGTTTTAAGCAGGAGGGGGCTGGGTGGCTAGGGGTCAGGGATTGACATAATACACCTTAAAATGATTACAAGATCTCTGAGAAGCTCAGGCCAGGTACAGTGGCTCATGCCTATAATCGCAATGCTTTGGAAAGACGAGGCAGGAGGATCTCTTGAGACCAGCCTGGGCAACAAAGTGAGACCCTATCTCTACAAAAAAAAAAAGTTTTTAATTAGCCAGGTGTGGTGTGACATGCCGCTAGTCCTAGCTACTCAAGAGGCTGAGGTGGGAGGATCACTTGAGCCCAGGAATTCAAGGCTGCAGTGAGTTGTGATCCTGCCACTGTACTCTGGCCTGGGTGACAGGGCAAGACCCTACCTCTAATTTAAAAAAAAAAAAAAAAGCCAGTTACTTGACTACATCCTGGGGATAATTATATGTATCTCATAAGGCTTATAGTAAGGATTAAATGAAGCAATATATAGGGAAGGCGCTATAACTACTGTAACTACACCCGGGCCACTACTACCTCATAACCTTTTCTCTTTCCACTCCCTGCTCATGCCCCAGTTCCCAGCCACACTGATCCATGGAAGTATGATAGGAGTATAAGGATGTGTTCTCCACTGAACATTTTAGAACCTGAATTCAAGAAATACTTGATGGGTATCTATTCACCTCACTCCTCCAAAAAAAAAAAAAAGGAAAGAAAAAAAGAATTACTAGAACATGGTAGTTAACTATATTTTTAAGAAAGTAAACCTTCACCTGGGATTGTTATGAACTGCGAAGTAATGGCACAAGGGAATCATGGCCAAGTGTGAAGGATTTCTGTGAGATACCCTATGAGAACCCCTTTGGCTCTTCAAGTTTGCTTCTGCTGGAGAAGTTCACAAACCCAAGGAGTTCCCTGACTATACTTCATTTGCGTGTCTGATTGATAAATTAAGTGTTGAATTGAACTTTGCATGCACTCCAGCTGAGCCAGTTGGAAACTTGGGTGGTCAGGTGGGTCATACTTGCAGCATCTTGACCGTGAATTACTGTTTACTGACTCTTGGTAACGTTATTTAGAAGATTTTGTGGCACTCATACTGAACTTGGTGTCAGTATGAAACCACAGAGCAAGAAGAAGAAGTTGTATTTCTTCCTGGCTTCTCATAGTGACCTTTCCCTGCTAATTCTACTTTATGGTAACAAGCAGATCATTCTTCTTCATTGTTTAGGTAGTTTATTACTTACTGCTTTTGTCACCAATAGGCTCTGGGCCTCTGAACTTTTCGAATTTGTTTCTACTCTGATTTTTCTGGTGTTCCTGATCGTTAGTTAAAGAAACACTGAGGTGCATGATATAGTAAGCTTCAGGCATTTTCTATACTTCCCAATGAACATTTTACCTTCACAGCATTAGTAACTAAATCTGTTACAGTTATTTGTACAACTAGTAAGTAACTGCCAGGCACACCAACATTTGAACTGAAAATCATTTGCTTTCTGTATTACAAGTAGATTTAAAGCAGTTCTATCCTAGGGGTTCAGAAGGATATCCTACAAAAAGGAGATTAGGTTCCTAGTAGCAACATTTTTCTGTAAACCCACAAGAAAGAAGAACAACTCTCATAATAAGTCTAAAAGTTTACACCTCTCCCTGAGACCTGGGAAGCGTGTGCCTATGTAGGAATCCCTAAACCATCTTTGAAAGGTATTTAGCCCATCTGGTCCAGTTAATTCAATCCGTTAAACATGATATTGAGTCCAAGACTATAGCAGAAGTCTGTTTTCTAGTTCCTTAATTCTTCCTGTAAGTCTTGCCTGCCAGGCTTTCGGCTGTGTGACTGTTCTCTCGCAGTCTGAATGAGATAGTGATTCGTCCCAGGGCACTGTTGAAAAACAACTCAGAGTCCTTTCCTATAGATGGTGGCTTAATGGCATTCTTGGTATTATGAACATTAAATGAGATAGTGAATTGAAAGCTCTTAGCAGAGTACCTGGAGTACTCCATGAATGTGGTTTTTCCTTGACTTACCAACCTCAGGCTTTATATTAGTAGTTTGCTGTGGAAGGGAAGTTTTAGAGTCAGCAAATTTGGAAACTTGAGAAGGAAGCTGGAGTGAGAGCTCTTGGCCCAAAGCCAAAGTCGTTGGCCTTCCTTCTTTATAACTGTGGTGTTCTTCTTGAGTTCTGAGGTGGTGATGGTAAACTAAAATAGCAGAGAGCAACAGATTAGATAACTGACATTTCTCTCATGCTGATTTGATAATGTAAACTACCATTACTGTAGGAGTCTGAAGCCGCAGCAGCTGCCCTCATCCCTGCCCCTTAGCTTCTGCCTAAGCCTTTCCTGTTCTGGAGCCCAACCTCTCCCTCCTTTTATTTTTAAGCTCTTAGTAGTCTGCAATTGGTGGAAGGGACCTTACCACCTTTAGAAAATCAATGATGGATTTCATGTGCAAGCAGTGAGCAGTGTCCTTATTAAATGTTCGTTGTTTCTGGCCCTAGTAAAATGTACTATAGCTTTGTGCTTTTTGGATGGGGATGGGGCAACAGCACATCAGTGTGACTCTGACTGCCCACTTCGTTGGGTCCCTGAGACAACAAGAGAAAGGAACATTACTATATAGTAAACCCTGTGGAGCCAAAACCCTAAGGATCTAGATGTCACTTTAACTTTCAAGCAAAATTACTTGCCTGGCAGCTCTCAACAGAATGGCCTATTTTCATGATCAGATTCTTACTCTTTTCACCACGTGTTGTATAGTTTTTGGAGCTCCTGGGTGGATCTGGAGTACAGTCACATAAAACCCCTGATTGCTCCCCAGATTTTCTTTCCAGAGCCAGAGGGGTAAGAATTTGGGTTGATCACCCACTTTTACGCTGTTCAAAAGCAAAAGAGAGACTGTGAATTGGAATTTGACAGGAAGTGGGGTGGCGTTATCTGGGGGAACGGTGATCCCCTTAACCTAGTTTCAGATTTTACCTTGTGTCCTTTGGGCCAAAATCAAATGTAGTGTTAAGTAGAGATACTTTTTTCCATTTTTCAGGATCTTTGGATACTCCCCAAGTTATTTTCGCCACATCCAAACCCTTGCCCACACAATCTGAAGCCCTTGCTACAGTTATAGGACAGAGAAAATCAAAGTCGGTGAAGTCAGGGCCAATTTAAGGTAACGGTAAGAATAAGAGCATATTTTTATCATTTTCACTTGCTGACTTTATACTACAGCAAGAGACTTAGTGGCTACCAAAAGAAGTTCTAGCTTCTCAAAATGACAGTGAAGTTGGGGCTTTATAAACCAAAACTTAGAAGGATGCTCCCAAACTGGGTCAAAGTTGAGCTCCAAATAGTTTGCTCCTATAATGGTCTACCAGTAGGTGGCGCTGTGGCAGTAAGAACTTTCTCTACTATTACTAGAGGCTTTTGTTTAAAAATACGAGGATTTTAAGACAATTCAAATAAAGAAACTAAAACCATAATTGAGTTATCACAAAGTATAACATAATATATGGGAAAACATGATATTTGAAGGTAAAGTTGCAGTAGTTGCAAAAGAGAATGGATATTTATTATTAAGGCTTTTAGACTAGAATTTATAAACTGGACTTTCAGATTATGGGAGGCAGGGAGGGAACAAATTTTTTTTCAAATTTTGGTGAGGTTGATGAATTGTGTTTTTGCTGAGTTACTTAAATAAACATATGCTATAATTAGCAGCAAAACAAACTGTAAACCTCATCCTCCATCCAACCAAAAAAAGCTCATACACCGAAGGCATGGTCTAACTTGATTTTGTGAAGCTGTTTCCACACTTCACCAGCACTGCCGTCAGTATTTTGTTCCCAGCCATGGCCTTCAAAATTTTCCAGAAAATTCTGCGAAACTTCAAGGCTTTGATAATTCCTTTCCTCTTTGTTCTGCCCTACACACTGATGCATTAACGGCACACCTGCCATGAGGCTAATACTCTTCTTACCTCTGGGGGAATATTTATAAACTTATTTGAGAAACGTTATTCATCAGAATACCCCAGGAGTGCAAAAGAGAGAGGAAAATTATTTACCCACCACAGGATTCATTTACATTGGATCAGCAAGCTTCAAATATCTTTCCCTAGCCCATCTAAACTCTTCCCAGAAAGGAATGAGAAGAGAGAAGGGAACACCAAATCCATGGCTTGGTCATATACCAAAATTTACTGGAGAAACTGAAAACAACCAGAGTTCTTTTGGTAATTCTTAGCCAATGGCCCTTTAATTCTGATACTAAGCAGCCTGTCCAATGATGAACAACTAATAAAATATAGAAGACTAAAGCAAGAAGGTCAGTATTTCCCTTAGGAGACTGGCAGCCAGAAGAACAAATGTGACACCAAGCTCCAAACTAAACTGATGGCCTGCCAAGAAGTACTCATGTCCATCTGCTTCTAGGACTGTGATACTTGGACCTGCCACAGTTATAATATCACTTTCCTTGAACCTCATTCATTAGTATCCTTTACAATCCACCCTGAACATTACATGGCAAAATGGGACCATCAGCAAAAGAAGCCTTGGGAAAGAGCCCATTTCTCAACATTTTGATCTCTGTTGCAGATACAGCCATGCTGAGCCTGAGCTGTGTATAAGCGAGGGATGACTGATGCTGTGCTTTGTGATTAGCTGAGGCGATGAGACAGCATGTGTGTATGGACAAAGAGGACAGAGTGGATCAGAGGGTCTCAGAAGTCCAGCTCCTATGACACGACTGTCACTGCTGGGAAGCTGCAGAGTCAGGCCCACCAGCCTGGCATGTGGCCGATGGCAGTGGGCTGCATCTCTTGAGCAGAAGAATTAGGTTGTTTACAAAGTGAGGAGGCAGAACCCCACAGGCCTCAGCCCTCACCTGAAGCATGCTTTCTTTTTATTGCAAATGCAGTGCAGGCAGCAGAGGTCCCTTCAACCATAATCACGAACGAATGTCATCACCGGCCATGACAGTCCTAGAACCTCTTCATATGTGGGTTTAGAGAGGCAGTCAGGTTAGAGAATTTGAGTTGTGTTTGCATTACATGTTTTATAAAACTGAGAAAAACGTCAGTTGTCCTTATCAGAGTGGAGGGAGCTGTGCTGAAGGATATTAGGAGCAAAGCCTGTGTATGACCCCTGTATGCTGCCCAGGGCAAGTGTCATATTTAAATACCTACATTGTTCTTTGTTTTCTTAGATTCTGTATTTGTCTGTTCATCAGAGGGCTAATTATATTAACTATATTTTCTTATTTTCTGTATGTATATATATATTTTTTTAGACAGGGTCTTGCTCTGTTGCACAAGCTGGAGTGCAGTGGTGTGATCACGGCTCACTGCAACCTCCGCCTCCTGGGATCAAGCGATCCTCCCACCTCAGCCTCCTGAGTAGCTGTGACTACAGGCATGTGCCACAATGCACAGCTAATTTTTCATATTTTTAGTAGAGATGGGGTTTTGCCATATTGCCCAGGCTGGTCTCGAACCCCTAAGCTCAAGCAATCCACCTGCCTTGGCCTCCCAAAGTGCTGGTATTACAGGCGTGAACCACCACACCTGGCCATTTTCTGTATTCTTAGTGCCCTGGCATTTGGGATCCTTGCAGGCCCAGGCGAGAGAGTGCCTTTCACAGGGCTAGTTAATTCCTAAACGTAGTAACAACTTGTCCATGAGCACATCTTTTATATGCAAACCAACCAGTCCTGAGTATCTACACCCAACCTCCTTATCAAACTTTCACACACCAACCCAAAATTTCCCCTGCCCTAAAATCGTCTCAGGGCCAGGTACCAGGCAACTAGATACCATCCCTATACCCTGAAGCCCCCTGGAATTATCTAAACTAGCCAATCCAGCCAATCCAAAGCTGTTTAATTGCCCTGCCTTGCCTTTCCTATGGAAGCCCCAGCAAAGGTTCTGACCTAGGCTTTTCCCCCCACTGCTGTCTTCTGCCTCCAGACTGACACTGGTGCATTCACTGTGACCCTGCTTAGTGTGCAGTGACCCCCTCTCTGGGAGCTGTCAGAATAAACGATACCTTCCTTCGGAGCCTTGTTTTTGTTTTCCTCCTGTGGCCACACCAACTTTGACATACCGTATCCAACATGTACATTCTTAGAACAAACATTAAGAGGATAAATATCTTTAACTTGCGATACAAGGAACCAGGAAGAACCATGAATTAGGTTTACATCACCCAGTTCTAAGCAACTGGGCATAGCACTTCATCCGTAGCCTGTGTTACACAAGTGATGTTTTAACAGTATGTGTTTTGCTGGCATTGACCTGGCTGTAGCCACACAAGAAGGATGTGGATCCCTCTACATGGCAGAATCACCTGGCTGTCAGCCATTGAAGTGCATGCGTTCCTGTCCTGAGGCCTCTTGCATTTCATTTAGTAACTGTTTCTACATTCAGAAACAAAACCCAAGTATAGCTGAACAACCTGGTTGGAAGTGAGGAAGAAGACAGCCTGGCTTTTAGTTTGGGGGAGAGAATAGGGGTACTTCTAAGAATCTATCCAAAAGGGGTTCATTGGCCTTGAAGAAAACCAGAGAACTCCATTTCTAAAATGGATTAAGAGATAGGCTATGGAGGAAGATAACATCTGAAAATTGATATTTTTTTCTTGCTGAACTGGCAAAATCCCAAGAGAGGAGTGATGATTCTTCAGTTATTAACAATTACTACTTTGTTATAAAGAGACACGGGAAGTACAGTGGCCCCTTTCTCAAATTACACTTACATTACAGAAGCACACACACCTCTTGGAAAAAAATGCCTGGCAGCCTGGATTGTTAGAATTGTGCCTACTCCTACATCTTGCTGCAGAGTTGTGTGGTCCTGTGTAATATCCATGCACTTTGGACAGAAGACGATCTAGTCTATTCTTGCAGTCCTGAACTGGGCAAGTAACCAGCATAAGGCTGCCCTTCTTTCTGTCTTTATATATATCACTCCAGGTTATCGATCTGTTCACTGTGGTTATCCATCCTGTGAACCCACACATCTTATAGCCACATACCTTTGCTTTATTGTCCTCATATCCTCAGGGCATAATTGCTCCTGAAAGTTCTAAAGAAAGAAAATGACATGCTAAGCCACGCCTGTCTTTGGAAAAAGCAAGCTTTCCACACGGAAATATTTACACCTCTGCTTACCTGATCTGTAGAGTTTGAACCAGGTCCCAAAAAGTGTAGGTAGATAATAGCAGGGCTTGGAGAATGATGACTTGAAGTGTATTGCCCTGTTGGCATGATTTGTATTGATTTTTATCCTGTATTCTTTCAAATTGTGATTATAAAGAAAAAGACTCAGATTCTCTTAAGTCCTCAAAATGAAGAGCATTACTAAAACTAAAACAGTAGTCTCTTATACTTCTTTGTTCTCGTCTTTTGAACATGCAGGTATTTCCAGTTTGCACCATAGATGTCAAGGGGCTCCCTTCTCTTAAAACTTGAATGCAGGGTTTTTTTGTTGTTGGGGGGTGGGTGGTTGGTTGCTTTTGTTTTTGTTTTTGTTTTTTTGAGTCAGAGTCTCGCTCTGTCACCCAGCCAGACTGGAGTGCAGCGGCATGATCTCAGCTCACTGCAACTTCCGCCTCCCAGGTCCAAACAACTCTCGAGCCTTCGCCTCCCGAGTAGCTGGGATTACCGGCATGCGCCACCATGCATGGCTAATTTTTTTTTTTAATTTTTAGTAGAGACAGTGTTTCACCATGTTGGCCCGGCTGGCCTCGAACTCCTGACCTCAAGCGATTTGCCCACCTTGGCCTCCCAAAGTGCTAGGATTACAGGCATGAGCCACCGCGCCCAGTCTGGTTATGCAGTTAGTTGATACCAGAGAGGAGTAGCTTGAATGTGTGGACTTGCCTTCGCTATAATAAAACATAGCCTCTATCCCCATTATAAAATGGGGAAAGAAGTTAGAAAACCAACCTGATTTTAAGATGATGAGGTGAAGAAAAAGCAGCTGCTTAGAAGTTGCTGTATGTATCATTTAGTTGTTTGGTGTTGGTTAGAAGAATCACTCTTATTTTAATATCTAATGAACTGAAAAGTGAGAGTGAGGTATTTTCCTTCCCTTTTTATTTATTTGTAATTTGATTCCCAGGGAAATTAAGACTTGTGACAAGCCCAAATGAAGATATTTTGGAATTTGACAGGAGAGTTTTTTAACTTATGCCTAAGCTTCAAATTATATTAGGCAATAAATTATTGATAGTTTTTAATCAGATACTGGAATATGGAATTTTCAAAATCACAACTCAGAAAAATGACCGCTCACAGGCCTTCTGTTTTATATTTATTCTTCCTTTTTAGTATTCTCCAAAATTAATCATCATCGTACATGTGTACATTTATTCTTATTATTACCACAAGAGCCTTCTGATGATCGAGAGGAGAGAGACCCTCAGTTCACCTCTGGAAGGGAAGTTGTTGTACATGAGCACAGGGAGGAATCAGTCTCAAGAGCCAGACCTCCTGAAAACCTGCAGCGTTGCTGAGAGAATCAGCAGCTTTACTGGCTGAACAGCAGCTCGGGTTAGCCCATCCCGTGGCCAGGTCATTTGCTGGCTCCTCCGCAGCCAGCTTCCATTGTTGTCTAGGCTGACAGCTCCGCCCTACTCATGACGTGACTCTCTCTATGGGATTGTTTCTCTCCTTTTTTTTTTTTACATTCAGTTTTCAGAAGACAGAATGGAATACTTCTCATTCATTCCTCCAGCAAAGTGCCCCTGGTGGGCAGAGCTCTCTCTCCCAGGCCTTAACTGGCCTAAATAAAGTGGGTGGCAGCTGCCTTCCAGACAGATGCCAGCCTGGTACTAGGGTAGTATGATTGTGTGATACAAAGCTGCCAATGTATGCATGTCTGACCATTTTTTCAGATGGGATTGTAGCTAGGCAGGTACAGCATAGCCTTTTCATGTCCAGCATAGGGTCTTAAAATATAAAACCACATGCAATAAAATAACAAGGTATAAAGGGAAAGTCAGGGCCAAAAAACAAGATAATTCCAAGTTTTCAAATATCAGCCTAAATAAACTTATTGTCGTTGAGGTGAAATTTGGTTCTAAGATTCCTAATAGGCAGGGCAAACAGGGAAACATGATAAATTGGAGTATATAGTTCTCACAATCAAAAAGGAAGAAATACTCCAGGGAAAGTCAAGATATTTCCTAGTATTGGTTCTAAAGGAAGTATTTTACATACTTTATATACAAGACACCTAATAAAGTAGTAGTCAACTGCTAATGAACTATTAAAAAATAGTCAATAGTAGCTTCTCAGTCAACAGGCCAATAGAGTGCTGTGTTTCATATGCCTACTCCTTGGCATGAACTGTGCAAAGATAAAATATTATAGTACACGTCAATGAAGACAGTTTTGTGAGGGGACAAAAGGAATATAGTCTAAGTTTCCTTGTGGTCTTCGTAATCCAAGGGTAAGATAATGGTTATTTAGAGGATTGGGTGAATTGCATGTGTCTTAGGCAATCCTAAATATAACTTCTCTCAATTGATTGCTTGATAAGAACTAGTTGTGCTCTTAGGCAAGGATCCAGATACCTGGTCTTTTATCTTACTGTTTGAAGATGCGTCTATTAATATATGCTTGGGAAAGCAGGTGGCAGAGGTAACATCTTCTGAAAGCTTTGGCAGCTAAGCAGTATTCTCGCTCTATCATGTGGCATGTTGATTGTCTGCTCCCTGACTCCCATACACAGTTTCCTCTGCCTAGGCACCATCTCCCCACTTTTGCTCCCTCCCTCCCCAATATGCCTATTCCTGTTTGTCCTCAACCACTTTTCTCCTGTCCAGCCCTACCCTATGTTAATCTGATTTAGATGCTTTTGACTCTGCTCTTTAGAACTCTGTAATTACCTCTATCATGGCTTTTACAATACTCTAGGATCTTTATGGTTACTTAACTGCTCCCTCTACTAAGCTTGAAATTTCCTGGAATGCGAGGATCAGGTCCAAGTGGACTCTAAAACTCTAGGGTCTAGCATAGTGCCCAGCCTGTAGTAGGGGCTTAAGAAATCCCAATTCAGAAAAGAAAACAAAAAATAATAAGGTGACAAATAAATAACCAAAAATAAAAAAGAAATTCTGATTGAATAGATGAATGAGTAAATTTTCATATTTCTGCCTTTTTTTATTCTTCTACTGACATTTGGAATACCTGCCTACATATGCAAATTCTTCCTATTCTTAGGCCAAGCTCAGTGGCTCACACCTGTAATCCCAGTACTTTGGGAGGCCGAGGTGGGCAGATCACTGGAGGCCAGGAGTTCAAGACCAGCGTGGCCAACATAACGAAACCCTGTCTCTATTAAAAATACAAAAATTAGCTGGGCGTGGTGGCACACGTCTTTAGCACCAGCTACTCGGGTGGCTGAGGCAGAAGAATTGCTTCAGTCCAGGGAGGCAGAGGTTGCAGTGAGCCAAGATTGTACCACTGCGCTCCAGCCTAGGCGACAGAGGAAGACTGTTTAAAAGGAAAAAAAAAAAAAAAAATATATATATATATATATATATTTTATCCCCTAAGGGCCCAGTTAAGTTTTTTGTTTTGTTTTGTTTTTGTTTTTATTTGTGTTTTGAGATGAGTCCCGCTCTGTCACTCATTTATCTTGTCGTTTAAAAAATTCCTAGAGACCTACAATTTATATCACAAAGTTTAACACTTCTTCAGATTTTGTCATCTTTTATCACTGCTTACTTTTTGGGTGAATTGTCTCTTCAATAAGACCATAAACTTTTTGAGGGCAGAATTATATCTGTATGTTTCTTCAATCCCTAGTAATACCCAAAATGTTTCATTACTTTGTATTGTAGACCCTAAAGAAAAGAACACATACATACATAAAACTTTTCTGAAAAATAGTCCATTTCCTCTGTTCTCCTGGATTTAAGTCAAATGCCTAACCTCAGAAGATAAAATCTTCTAATGAAGATTTCATAAAAAATGCATTTTATTATTAAACAGTCTTCAAAATCAGAATAACCTTCCTTATAAATTACCTGGTATTTCTATCCCATTTCTTGCAACATTGTAAAACTACTTCCTGTAAAATAATGAATGATTGATCACTACTCTTGTTTTTTTTTTTTTTTTTTTTTTGAGACGGAGTCTTGCTCTGTCGCCCAGGCTGGAATGCAATGGCCCAATCTCGGCTCACTGCAAGCTCCGCCTCCCAGGTTCACGCCATTCTCCTGCCTCAGCCTCCTGAGTAGCTGGGACTACAGGAGCCTGCCACCATGCCTGGCTAATTTTTTGTATTTTCAGTAGAGACGGAGCTTCACTGTGTTAGCCAGGATGGTCTCGATCTCCTGACCTCGTGATCCGCCCACCTTGGCCTCCCAAAGTGCTGGGATTACAGGCATGAGCCACTGTGCCCGGCCGATCGCTACTCTTTAGATAACAACATCTGCTACACATTCCCAACCTTACTATAACTTGTTACATGGTAGATTTCAGTATGAAGATGTTCCATTTTAGACCACATTCAAGAATCTCATTATAAGGGAACAAAGTTAAAATGAGATTGAATTTATTTGGAAAACATTCGCTTTCAGCTTTTTTTTTCTCCCCTCTACATCACCTAACTAACTGGAATTGTTTATTGCACAGATCAGATTTCTCTTTTGAACACTGAACTGTCTTTCTTATCTTCTGAACTCACCATGAATTCTTTAGGTTCCTCTTAAGTTGTGTAATACCTGAAACTGAACACCACACTCTAATCTGACAGGTGTTGAGTATTGTGTAAAATTTATCATCATGGTTCCGGAGTCATATGTTACACTTTAAATGTGCACAGTATTCCCAGAAACAAAACCAAAGTTCTCTCAACCCTTACTTGTTACCTTCCTTACTTCTTTTTGCTTCACAGGGCCATGCAGCATTACCACTGCTGTTGTCAGTAACAATACCTAAGTTTTGTAAGAATTCCAGAATGCAGGGTGGAAAGATCATAACTGTGAAGTTAGACTGACCTGTGTGGGCCCTGTCACTGTCCAGTTGGCAACTTTAGGCTAATCACTTAACCTCTTTCAGCCTCAGTTTCCTCATCTATACAATAAGCATAAAAATATCAATCTTGCAGGATTGGGATATGAAGATGATAGATTGCCTCAATAGCAACAGCAAAAATTCCTGTATAAAAATGGGTTAGAATAGACATTCAAAGAAGATATGCAAATAACTAATAGGCACATGAAAAGATGCTCAACATTGCTAATCATAAGAGAAATGCAAATCAGAACCCATGGTGAGATACCACCTCACACCTTTAGGATGGCTACTATTAAAAAAGCAAAAAATAAGTCGGACATGGTGGCTCCTGCCTGTAATCCTAGCACTTTGGGAGGCCAAGGCAAGAGGATCACTGGAGGCCAGAAGTTCAAGACCAACCTGGGCAACACAGTGAAACACCGTCTCTACAGACAATAAAAACAATTAGACAGGCATGGTTGCACACACCTGTAGTCCCAGCTTCTTGGGAGACAGAGGCAGGATTGCTTAAGCCCAGAAATTCAAGGCTGCAGTGAGATATGATCGGGCTGCTGTACTCCAGCCTGGGTGACAGAGCAAGACTGTCACAAGAAACAGAGAGATAGAGAGGGATGAGGGGAGGAGAGGGAGGGGAAAGGGAAGAAGGAAAGAAGGGAAGGAAGGGAGGGAGGGAGGGAAGAAGGGAAGGGAGGACTAAAAACTAACAAGTACTGGGGAAGATGTGGAGAAATTGGAACCCCGGTGTACTGTTGGGAATGGAAGATGGTGCAGCTACTATGAAAAACACTATGGTGGTTCCTCAAACAATTAAACATAGAATTACTGGCCAGGTGCAGTGGCTCACACCTGTAATCCCAGCACTTTGGGAGGCTGAGGCAGGAAGACTACTTGAGGCCAGGAGTTCAAGACCAGCCTGGGCAACATAAGGAAACCCTGGTTCTACGAAAAATAAAGTAGCCAGGCACAGTGGCACATGCCTATAGTTCTAACTACTTGGGAGACTGAGGTGGGAGGATCACTTGAGCTGGGAGGTCGAGGCTGCCATGATCCATGATCACACCAGGGCACTCCAGCCTCGGTGACAGAGCGAGACTCTGTCTCAAAAAAACAAAAAAATTGAATTACCATATGATCCAGCAATTTCATTCTGTGTGCGTATGCCCAAAAGAATTGAAAGCAGAGACAGAAACAGATATTTGTATCCTCCTAACAGCATTATTCACAGTAATCAAAAGACAGAAGCATCCCAAGTGTCCGTCGGCAGATGAATGAGTCAACAAAATGTGGTCTATGTATTCAGTGAAATACTATTCAGCCTTCAAAATAAAGGAAATTCTGCAATAAGCTACAGCATGGAACTTTCAGGACGTTATGCTAAGTGAAATGAGCCAATCACAAAAAGACAAGTACTATATGATTCCACTTATACAAGGTACCTAAAGTAGTCAGAATCGGAAAGGTAGAAAGTAGAATGGTGGTCAGCAGGGGGTGGGGAGAGAGGGGAATAGGATGTTTTTGTTTAATGGGCACAGAGTTGCAGTTTTGCAGGATGCAGAGTTCTGGAGCTGAATGATGGGATGGTCGTGCAGCGTGAATGCACTTAATGCCACTGAACTGTACACTTGAAATTGTTAGGATGGTAAAGTTTATGTTACATGTATTTTGCCACAATTTTTAAAGAAAGATTATAGATTGTGTATGTATTATACCCCAGATTAGGTGTTTTTGTTTTCTCGATTTTGCATTTGAGGAAACTAAGGCTGAGAGAAGTTAAGTAGCTTGTCCAAGCCACACGGTCAATGATGGAGCTGAAATTCACACCCAAGCAGTTTTTTTCTAGAAGCTGCTGAACTGCTTCTTCATCTGAAAACTCGGCCCGTCAAGGTGATTTCATTTTATCAGCTTCCTTTCCTAATGGAGCTAAGCGGCTGGTGATCAGGCCCTGTGGCCTCCGCCTCCCTGCAGTGTCTGGTTGTTATCTCAAATGGCTCATTAGGGGGATGCCTGGCAGTAGGGGGGCATGTGTAGTTTAGGCTGGCTGTCTCTTTATCCAGCCATTTAACTTTCTCTTATTTAGATGGAGCCAGACCTGGAGAGGGAGGATAAGGAGCAAGGTGGGCCTTCTGCCTCTACTCCCCTGGGTGGGGGTGATCTGGGATCTTTCCCACATGCCCGAACCGCCTTCGAAGGGACAGCAGTTCTGGTTGGCAGAGGAAACATGGATGTAGATGAAGCTCTGCAGCAGAGGGTGGAGCTGAAGTGAGGAGGTAGGAGGTGGGGGAAAAGCCGAGAGGGCTTGGGAATCACCCCTGGATTAGTTAAGAGAGCATTCCCTGCAGGTAACAGAAACTCCGAGAAATCAGTGGCAGGGTAAGTAAGGGATTTATTTTTCTCACATGTCAAAAAGTCTGGAGACAGGAGGTCCAGGGCTAGTGCTGCTCTTCAGAGACATAACTGAGGAGCCAGGCTGCTCTCTTTCTGCTCTACTAACTCTAATGCATTGGCTTTCATTTTGCTGGTCATAAGATGGTTTCTGTTCCTACCGGCATTGTGTCCATGTTTCAGTGAGAAGAGGGGGAAGGGCAAAAGACAGATGCCAGGTCAATCTGTCCCCCTTTCAAAAACACTTTCTTGGAAGCCCAGCAGTTCTAACTACCATATCATTGGCCAACACTGGCTCCCTTGCCTACTTCTCCTTAGCAACAGAGGTGTCTAGAGAGGTGGTCTTTTAGCTGGGCACATTGCCTTCCCAGTCAGATCTGGGCTCTTTTATTGAGGAAGAAGGGGGGATGGCTAATGATATACATCTACTGGTTTCAATCACAGCACATTTTCTTTCCAGAGACTCCACCCCTGCTGGAGGAACTTCATCACACTTCTGCAGCCCCTCTACCACCAGCTTCTTGACTGCTATAAATAGATACGTTGTTCCTTGACCCAAATTTGCCCCAGTCCTGTCTACTAGTACATGGAGTTGGGGGTCCCTATTACCTTTCAGTTACAGTAACACATGAGAGCCCTCATGTTTCTGGAAGTGTTTAAAAGGTCACCGTAAATGAGGAAGATGGAAAAAATGAGCCATAGAGAAAAAAAGTACCCTATAAATATACTTATCAAAATTATAAATTTGCTCTGAGTACAATATAAAATTATGATATATCACATTCATTCACATAAATTATTTACTATTTGATTATCCTTCAGCTGAATAATGACTATGTATACTCTTAAATTATGGAGATTAATATTGTTATAACTTTAATTTTATTATGATAGTAAATTCTGTTCACGAATGTTGTCTTCCTAAGATTTGCTCACAGTATAGCTGCTTTAAACACTGAGACAAGTTATTAATGATTCCTGTTTCATTTAAAGAAAAGCTTCTGGCCAGTCGCAGTGGCTCACACCTGTAATCCCAGCACTTTGGGAGGCTGAGGCAGGTGGATCACGAGGTCAGGAGTTCGAGACCATCCTAGCCAACATGGTGAAACCCTGTCTCTACTAAAAATACAAAAATTAGCTGGGCATGGTGGCACGTGCCTGTAATCCCAGCTACTCGGGAGGCTGAGGCAGGAGAATTGCTTCAACCAGGGAGTCAGAGGTTGCAGTGAGCTGAGATCACGCCACTGCACTCCAGCCTGGCTCCAGAGCAAGACCGTCTCAAAAAAAAAAAAAAAAAAAAAAAAGGAAAAAGAAAAAGAAAAGAAAAGCTTCCTTGTGCTCAGGTCTTTGCTGAGATTCTCCAAAAAGAATAGGACAGGGAGGGGCCTGGTAACTTGAAAAATCCAAAACAGAAGTTCACTCAGCAGTATGGAGTCATAATTTTAAAAAAGGATTTTAATCTAATAGTGAATATAAAGCTACAGTAACCAAAACAGTATGGATGGGATAGAATTAAATGTCCAGAAATAAACTTATATATCAAATAGCCAATTGATTATTCAGTGGACTAGTCTCTTCAACAACTATTCAGTGGTACCAAGACTATTCAGCGGAATAGTCTCTTCAACAACTGGCATTTGAACAGTTGGTTATCCACATGCAAAACAGTGAAGTTGGACCCCTGTTTCACATCTACACAAATATTAACCAAAAATTGATAAAATACCTACATGAAAGGGCTAAAACTATAAAATTCCTAGAAGAATACATAGGAATAAATCTTCATGTCGTTGGATTAGGCCACAGTTTCTTAGCTGTGATACCAAAAAGTACAAGCAACAACAAAATTAGACAAGTTGGACTTCATCAGAATTTTAAAATTATGTGCTTCAACGGATACCACCAAGAAATGTGAAGGACAAACCGGGTGCAGTGGCTCACACCTGTAGTCCCAGCATTTTGGGAGGCCAAGGCAGGCAGATCACTTGAGCTCAGGAGTTTGAGACCAGCCTGGGCAACATGGCAAAATCCCATCTCTACTAAAAATACAAAAATTAGCCAGGCATAGTGCCTCACGCCTGTAAGTTCCAGCTACTGGGGAGGCTGAGGTGGGAGGAATGCTTGAGCCCAGGAAGTGGAGGTTGCAGTGAGCTGAGATTGCACCACTGCACTCCAGCCTGGGTGAGAGTGAGATCCTGTCTCAAAAGCAACAACAACAACAACAACAACAAAATGAAATGTAAAAGACAGCCCACAGAGTGGCAGAAATTATTTGCAAATCATTTATATGGCAAGGGACTTGTATCCAGAATATATACAGACCTCTTGTAGCCCAACAATAAAAAGATAACCCAATTTTTTTTTAAATTTAAGTTCTAGGGTACAAGTGCACAACGTGTAGGTTTGATACATAGGTATACATGTGCCATGTTGGTTTGCTGCACCCATCATATTTCTCCTAATGCTATTCCTCCCCCAGTTCCCCACCCCTCGACAGGCCCTGGTGTGTGATGTTCCCCTCGACCCCTGTGTCCAAGTGTTCTCATTGTTCAGTTCCCACCTGTGAATGAGAACATGCGGTGTTTGGTTTTCTGCTTTGTGATAGTTTGCTGAGAATGATGATTTCTAGCTTCATCCATGTCCCTGCAAAGGACATGAACTCATCCTTTTTTATGGCTGCATAGTATTCCACGGTGTAAATGTGCTGCATTTTCTTAATCCAGTTCTGTCACTGATGGACATTTGGGTTGGTCCAAGTCTTTGCTGTTGTGAATAGTGCTGCAGTAAACATACAAGTGCATGTGTCTTTATAGTAGCATGATTTATAATCCTTTGGGTATATACCCAGTAATGGGATCGCTGGATCAAATGGTAATTCTAGTTCTAGATCCTTGAATGGTTGAACTAATTTACACTCCTAACAACAGTGTAAAAGCGTTCCTATTTCTCCACATCCTCTCCAGCATCTGTTGTTTCTTGACTTTTTAATGATTGCCATTCTAATTGACATGAGATGGTATCTCGTTGTGGTTTTGGTTTGCATTTCTCTGATGACCAGTGATGATGAGCATTTTTTCATGTGTGTGTTGGCTACATAAATGTCTTCTTTTGAGAAGTGTCTGTTCATATCCTTTGCCCACTTTTTGATGGGGTTGTTTGTTTGTTCCTTGTAAATTTGTTTGTGTTCTTTGTAGATTCTGGATATTAGCCCTTTGTCAGTTGGGTAGATTGCAAAAATTTTCTCCCATTCTGTAGGTTGCCTGTTCACTCTGATGATAGTTTCTTTTGACATGCAGAAGCTCTTTAGTTTAATTAGATCCCATTTGTCTTTTTTGGCTTTTGTTGCCATTGCTTTTGGTGTTTTAGTCATGAAGTCCTTGCTCATGCCTATGTCCTGAATGGTATTGCCTAGGTTTTATTCTAGGGTTTTATGGTTTTAGGTCTAACATTTAAGTCTTTAATCCATCTTGAATTAATTTTTGTATAAGATGTAAGGAAGGGATCCAATTTCAGCTTTCTTCATATGGCTAGCCAGTTTTCCCAGCACCATTTATTAAAAAGGGAATCCTTTCCCCATTGCTTGTTTTTGTCAGGTTTGTCAAAGATCAGATTGTTGTAGATGTGTTCTGTTATTTCTGAGGCCTCCGTTCTGTTCCATTGGTCTATATATCTGTTTTGGTACCAGTACCATGCTGTTTTGGTTACTGTAACCTTGTAGTATAGTTTGAAGTCAGGTAGTGCGATGCCTCCTAAGCTTTGCTCTTTTTGCTTAGGATTGTCTTGGCAATGTGGGCTCTTTTTTGGTTCCATATGAACTTTAAAGTAGTTTTTTCCAATTCTGTGAAGAAAGTCATTGGTAGCTTGATGGGGATGGCATTGAATCTATAAATTACCTTGGGCAATATGGCCATTTTCACTATATTGATTCTTCCTATCCATGAGCATGGAATGTTCTTCATTTGTTTGAGTCCTCTTTTATTTTGTTGAGCAGTAGTTTGTAGTTCTCCTCGAAGAGGTCCTTCACATTCCTTGTGAGTTACATTCCTAGGTATTTTATTCTCTTTGTAGCAATTGTGAATGGGAGTTCGCTCATGATTTGGCTCTTTGTTTGTTTGTTTGTTTGTTACTGGTGTATAGGAATGCTTGTGATTTTTGCACGTTGATTTTGTATCCTGAGACTTGGTGAAGTTGCTTATCAGCTTAAGGAGATTTTGGGCTGAGACGATGGGGTTTTCTAAATATACAATCATGTCATCTGCAAACGGACAATTTGACTTCCTCTTTTCCTAATTGAATACCCTTTATTTCTTTCTCTTGCCTGATTGCCCTGGCCAGAACTTCCAACACTATGTTGAATAGGAGTGGTGAGAGAGGGCATCCTTGTCTTGTGCCGGTTTTCAAAGGGAATGCTTCCAGTTTTTGCCCATTCAGTATGATATTGGCTGTGGGTTTGTCATAAATAGCTCTTATTATTTTGAGATACATTCCATCAATACCTAGCTTATTGAGTGTTTTTAGCATGAAGGGCTGTTGAATTTTGTCAAAGGCCTTTTCTGCATCTATTGAGATAATCATGTGGTTTTTGTCTCTGGTTCTGTTTATGTGATGGATTACGTTTGTTGATTTGCGTATGTTGAACCAGCCTTGCATCCCAGGGATGAACACTTGATCATGGTGGATAAGCTTTTTGATGTGCTGCTGGATTCAGTTTGCCAGTATTTTATTGAGGATTTTCGCATAGATGTTCATCAGGGATATTTATCTAAAATTCTCTTTTTTTGTTGTGTCTCTGCGGGGCTTTGGTATCAGGATGATGCTGGCGTCATAAAATGAGTTAGGGAGGTTTCCCTGTTTTTCTATTGACTGGAATAGTTTCAGAAGGAATGGCACCATCTCCCCTTTGTACCTCTGGTAGAATTCGGCTGTGAGTCCGACAGGTCCTGGACTTTTTTTGGTTGGTAGGCTATTAATTATTGCCTCAATTTCAGAGCCTGTTATTGGTCTATTCAGAGATTCAACTTCTTCCTGGTTTAGTCTTGGGAGGGTGTATGTGTCCAGGAATTTATCCATTTCTTCTAGATTTTCTAGTTTATTTGTCTGATGGTAGTTTGTATTTCTGTGGGATCAGTGGTGATATTCCCTTTATCATTTTTTATTGCGTCTATTTGAGTCTTCTCTGTTTTATTCTTTATTAGTCTTGCTAGCAGTCTGTCAATTTTGTTGATCTTCTCAAAAAACCAGCTCCTGGATTCATTGGGTTTTTTTGAAGAGTTTTTTGTGTCTCTATCTCTTTCAGTTCTGCTCTGATGTTAGTTATTTCTTGCCTTCTACTAGCTTTTGCATTTGTTTGCTTTTGCTTCTCTAGTTCTTTCCATTGTGATGTTAGGGTGTTGATTTTAGATCTTTCCTGCTTTCTCTTGTGGGCATTTAGTGCTATAAATTTCCCTCTACACACTGCTTTAAATGTGTCCCAGAGATTCTGGTACGTTGTGTCTTTGTTCTCGTTGGTTTCAAAGAACATCTTTATTTCTGCCTTCATTTTGTTATTTACCCAGTAGTCATTCAGGAGCAGGTTGTTCAGTTTCCATGTAGTTGTGTGGTTTTGAGTGAGTTTCTTCATCTTGAGTTCTAATTTGATTGCACTGTGATCCGAGAGACAGTTTGTTGTGATTTCTGTTCTTTTACATTTGCTGAGGAGTGCTTTACTTCCAATTATGTGGTCAATTTTAGAATAAGTGTGATGTGGTGCTAAGAAGAATGTATATTCTGTTGATATGGGATGGAGAGTACTATAGATGTCTATTAGGTCTGCTTGGTGCAGAGCTGAGTTCAAGTCCTAGATGTCCTTGTTAATTTTCTGTCTTGTTGATCTAATATTGACAGTGGGGTGTTAAAGTCTTCCACTATTATTGTGTGGGAGTCTAAGTCTCTTTGTAGGTCTCTAAGAACTTGCTTTATGAATCTGGGTCCTCCTATATTGGGTGCATATATATTTAGGATAGTTAGCTCTTCTTGTTGAATTGATCCCTTTACCATTATGTAATGGCCTTCTTTGTCTCTTTTGATCTTTATTGGTTTAAAGTCTATTTTGTCTATGTATTTTAAAGACTAGGATTGCAACCCCAGCTTTTTTTTTTTTTGCTTTCCATTTGCCTGGTAGATCTTCGTCCATCCCTTTGTTTTGAGCCTATGTGTGTCTCTGCACGTGAGATGGGTCTCCTTAATACAGCACACTGATGGGTCTTGACTCTTTATCCAATTTGCCAGTTCGTGTCTTTCAATTGGGGCATTTAGCCCATTTACATTTAACGTTAATATTGTTATGTGTGAATTTGATCCTGTCATTATGATGTTAGCTGGTTATTTTGCCTGTTTTTTTTTTTTTATTGATCATTCTTGGGTGTTTCTCGCAGAGGGGGAGTTGGCAGGGTCATAGGACAATAGTGGAGGGAAGGTCAGCAGATAAACAAGTGAACAAAGGTCTCTGGTTTTCCTAGGCAGAGGACCCTGCGGCCTTCCGCAGTGTTTGTGTCCCTGGGTACTTGAGATTAGGGAGTGGTGATGATTCTTAATGAGCATGCTGCCTTCAAGCATCTGTTTAACAAAGCACATCTTGCACCACCCTTAATCCATTTAACCCTGAGTGGACACAGCACATGTTTCAGAGAGCACAGGGTTGGGGGTAAGGTCACCGATCAACAGGATCCCAAGGCAGAAGAATTTTTTTTGGTACAGAACAAAATGAAAAGTCTCCCATGACTACTTCCCTCTACACAGACACGGCAACCATCCGACCTCTCAATCTTTTCCCCATCCTTCCCCCCTTTCTATTCCACAAAACCGCCATTGTCATCCCGGCCCGCTCTCAATGAGCTGCTGGGTACACCTCCCAGACCGGGTGGTGGCCGGGCAGAGGAGCTCCCCACATCCCAGTAGGGGCGGCCGGGCAGAGGCGCCCCTCACCTCCCGGATGGGGCGGCTGGTCGGGCGGGGGGCTGACCCCCCCACCTCCCTCCTGGACGGGGCGGCTGGCCAGGCGGAGGGCCGACCCCCCCACCTCACTCCCGGACGGGGCGGCAGGCCGGGCAGAGGGGCTCCTCACTTCCCAGTAGGGGCGGCCGGGCAGAGGCGCCCCTCACCTCCAGGATGGGGCGGCTGGTCGGGCGGGGGGCTGACCCCCCAACCTCCCTCCCGGACGGGGCGGCTGGCCGGGCGGGTGGCTGACCCCCCCACCTCCCTCCCGGACGGGGCGGCTGGCCTGGCGGGGGCTGACCCCCCCACCTCCCTCCCGGACGGGGCGGCTGGCCTGGCGGGGGCTGACCCCCACCTCCCTCCCGGACGGGGTGGCTGCCGGGCGGAGGGGCTCCTCACTTCTCAGACGGGGCGGTTGCCAGGTGGAGGGTCTCCTCACTTCTCAGATGGGGCGGCCTGGCAGAGACGCTCCTCACCTCCGAGACGGGGTCGCGACCGGGCAGAGGCGCTCCTCACATCCCAGACGGGGCGGCGGGGCAGAGGCGCTCCTCACATCCCAGACGGGGCGGCGGGGCAGAGGCGCTCCCCACATCTCAGGCGATGGGCGGCCGGGCAGAGACGCTCCTCACTTCCTAGATGGGATGGCGGCTGGGCAGAGACGCTCCTCACTTTCCAGACTGGGCAGCCAGGCAGAGGGTCTCCTCACGTCCCAGACGATGGGCGGCCAGGCAGAGACGCTCCTCACTTCCCAGACGGGCTGGGGGCCCGGCAGAGGCTGCAATCTCGGCACTTTGGGAGGCCAAGGCAGGCGGCTCGGAGGTGGAGGTTGTAGCAAGCCGAGATCACGCCACTGCACTCCAGCCTGGGCACCATTGAGCACTGAGTGAACCAGACTCCGTCTGCAATCCCGGCACCTCGGGAGGCCGAGGCTGGCGGATCACTCGCGGTTAGGAGCTGGAGACCAGCCCGGCCAACACAGCGAAACCCGTCTCCACCAAAAAAGTACGAAAACCAGTCAGGCGTGGCGGCGCGCACCTGTAATCGCAGGCACTTGGCAGGCTGAGGCAGGAGAATCAGGCAGGGAGGTTGCAGTGAGCCGAGATGGCGGCAGTATAGTCCAGCTTCGCCTTGGCATCAGAGGGAGACCGGGGAAAGAGAGGGAGAGGGAGACCGTGGGCCGTGGGCCGTGGGCCGTGGGGAGAGGGAGAGGGAGAGGGAGAGGGAGAACTTGTCTATGTATTTTAAAGACTAGGATTGCAACCCCAGCTTTTTTTTTTTTTTTTTTTTTTTTTTTTGCTTTCCATTTGCCTGGTAGATCTTCGTCCATCCCTTTGTTTTGAGCCTATGTGTGTCTCTGCACGTGAGATGGGTCTCCTTAATACAGCACACTGATGGGTCTTGACTCTTTATCCAATTTGCCAGTTCGTGTCTTTTAATTGGGGCATTTAGCCCATTTACATTTAAGGTTAATATTGTTACGTGTGAATTTGATCCTGTCATTATGATGTTAGCTGGTTATTTTGCCTCTTAATTGATGCAGTTTCTTCATAGCATCAATGGTCTTTACAATTTGGCATGTTTTTGCAGTGGCTGGTACCAACAACCCAATTTTTTAAACAGGCAAAGGATTTGAATAGACATTTCTCCAAAAAAGATATACAAATGACCAATGAAAAGATGCATCATTAGTCATTAGAGAAATACAGATCAAAACCACAGTAAATGCCACATCACACCACTAGGATGACTGTAATCAAAAGACAGGTAATAACAAGTGGAGATGAGGATGTGGAGAAATTGGAATCCTTATACACTGCTGGTGGAAATGTAAAATGGCGCAGCTGGTTTAGAAAACAGTTTGGCAGTTCCTGAAACAGTTAAACATAGAGTTACCATATGACCTTACAGTTCCACTCCTAAATATACATTTAGGAGAAATGAAAACATATGTCCACATAAATGTTTGTATACGAGGGTTCATAGCAACATTATTCATAATAGCCAAAAATGTGGAAACAACCTAAATGTTAGCCAGAAAATGAAGTGATAAACAAAATGCAGTGTATATATACAGATTGCCTAGGAACTGGGGCTGGCGGGGGCCGAGAAATGGGGAGTGACTGCTAATGGCATTGGGTTTCTTTTTGGAGTAATGAAAATGTTCTAAAATGAGATTGTGGTAATGGTTACCCCATTTTGTGTTTGTGTTTTTGTTTTTGTTTTAATTTTTGTGGGTACATAGTAGGTGTATGTGTTTATGGGGTACATGAGATGCTTTGATACAGGCATGCAATGTGAAATAAGCACATCATGGAGAATGGGGTAGCCATCTTCTCAAGCATTTATTCTTTGAGTTACAAAACAATCCAATTATACTATTTTATAACATACAATTAAGTTATTGTTAACTATAACCACCCTATTGTGCTATCAAATAGTAGGTCTTATTCTATTTATTTTTTACCCATTAACCATCCCCCCGTTTTGTGTATACAATAAAAACCACCGAACTGTATACTTTAAATGAGTGAATTTTATTAATATGTGAAATATATCACAATAAATCTGAAAGAATCAATAGTTAATATTTAGAAAGTAAGAGGAAAAAAAAGCCCTTCAACATAAGCAAATTGTCTTCACATCTTAGATGGACAAATTGTTGATCAATACGTATTTAGTGTGTCCTGTTCATTCGTCCAACAAATAATTTGACTGCCTCCCGTGTGTGAAGTGTGTTCTAAGGTCTTAGGCAGAAAGATGTCTGGGCTCTGCTCTGCCCCTGCTGTTTTATCCTCCCAGGAAAGGTGGTGTGCCTAGGGGACAGCAGCTGTCCCTGGGCCTGGCCTCACTCTCTTTTTCCCTGTTTGGAAAGGTGTCAGGCTCCCGAGTATTTCTGTTGCTTTCGTCAGCACAGAGCAAGGAGGACCTTGACTATAGTTTCACAGCCTTAAGCTTCACCTCATGCTTCAAATCCACGAAAGAGCAGCTGAGAATGGGGCTAGCTGTGCCACCAATTGCTTCTCTCCCATTGTTAATCCCTTTAATTCTGCTGTTCCTAGGCACCCCTCCCTGACACCATCCTGTTGCCCACTTGTGATGTGATTGAACAAGTGGTTTGGCCTTTGAAAGGTGATTCTTAGAGATACCTCAAGTGACCCAGCCCCTGGTTTGCTGGGATGCTCTTGGTGTTCGTTTCCATGGAGCACCAGAGATTGTCTGTAGGCGAAACCCTTTCCAACCAAACCCAACTCAAAAAGGAGGTAACTGCCACTGACCTCCTCTGAGATCCTGGCCTAGCCGCCAGGGTCATTAGGGAAAGCAGCATTTCATTGCTTAGCAAAGATAGTGAGAAAGCTCCAGTTCTTTTTGGCTCAAACAGAAGAGTTTATGTCCTGACACCTGAGTTATTAAATTATGGCACAGCTAGCTCTGTGATGAATGAATGACAAAAACATATATATATATATATATATATATATCACTGTATTTCTGCTTTACTCTATCATTTCCTGGGCAAAATGTTATTTTATTTATAAAATTCATCCATCTCTTTCACAAACCTCAGCTTTTATGGCAAAACACACAGACACGCACTGAGCCACTTTTCAGCCTATATGTACTCTTTTCAGAGAGCATTAGAATTAAACTAATTAGAATTCCTCCCTCCCTCCCCTGAGATTGATGTATTTCTCAGCATTCTACGATGCTTATTACACTAAAAAAAAGACAACTTCCTAATGGCGTGAGGACAGAGAAAGTGGCATGTGTGTTGGGGGTAAAAGGGAATATTCGAGCATTAACCTGCCTGGTGATCGCAGGGCACAAGGAAAGCCTCTTCTGTCCTGGGCTGTCCCCTTAGTTGTGATAGGAAGGGGAGTAGCAGGAAATGGAATCTGCCCTGGTCATGGGATTTTTTGAAAGAAACAAAGCATGATCTGATGAAGAGCAGGTTAATCCTGCTATTTCATTTCCCTTGCAGAAAGGGTGGGGGCAGGATTGTGATATGAAGTATTTAGTTTCACATCTGTTCCAGGAATTATCCTCGGCATAAATCCATTTTTCTTTTAAGCATCGTAAAGCATCCCAGGGAGCTCCTCCTCCTGCCCACCCTCCCCACCCCCACAGTTTATTTCGTGGCCACGGAGCAGCTGACATACTTCCAGAGAGATCATCTTGTCATTGTACACAAGGAGGGAATCTCTGAGTCTTAGAAGTCAGAATTTCTGTGGATCAGTGGTATCAATTTTGTGTACTGCTTTCCATGAAGTGTTTAGAATAAAACTAATTAGCATAGCAGCAGCGTAGTATAATGAAAAGAGCTCTCAATTTAAAATTAGAACTGATTCTCATCTCAGCTTTGCTACCATTTGTGTGAATTTGGGCAAGTCACCAAACCTCTTTGGTCTCAGGGTCCTCATGGTTTCCCAAAATGTGTTCACAAAATACAAGTCTTCACAGTCAAATAAGTTTGACAAATGCTATTTACCCTATGCCACTTCTTAGAGTTGTAATATATTAACATATTAAAGACTCTGAAAAGTCTTTCAATAAAGATACCTTTTTTTTTTTTTTTTTTGGTGGGGATGGAGTCTCGCTCTGTCGCCCAGGCTGGAGTACAGTGGCACGATCTTGGCTCACTGCAACCTCCGCTTCCGGGTTTCAAGCAATTCTCTCTGCCTCAGCCGCCCAAGTAGCTGGGATTACAGGTGCCCACTACCACACCTGGCTAATTTTTGTATTTTTAGTAGAGACAGGGTTTCGCCATGTTGGCCAGGCTGGTCTTGAACTCCTGATCTCAGGTGATCTACCCACCTCGGCCTCCCAAAGTGCTGGGATTACAGGAGTGAGCCACTACGCCCGGCCAAAGATACCTATTTTTCACTCAGCATTTCTTAAGTTTATCTGACCTGGAACCATTTTTCCTATAATGCTGATTAGTATCTCGTCACTTTGAGAAAGGAGGTTCAAGTCCAAATTGCTGGTAATCTATATAATCTGTCACACGTCATGGTTACCAAACTCAGTTTAAAGTAACTTTTCAAACTTCAAATCTCATTATTTGGAAAAATAAAAATAATTTTATATATGGCAAGGGGACTTCTAATTTAAAAAACTGAACGTAAGCACCAAAGCAATTAAGCAGACCAGTACAGACTTGTAACTAGAGTTGCGACAAAGTTTCTTTGACTTCTGTTTTCTATTCCCACCTTTCAGATGTTTGGTGTTCTCCTGTGGCCTTGCTTGTATGGTCTATTAATTATTCTTTGAATAACTAATTATGCTCAGCACAATACTAGGTGCATGTAAAGAATAACAAATCCAAAGATCCTAACCTATAATGTAGAGAATGAACACATACAAGGTAAAACAGAATTTCAAATTGTAGAGTAAGGCAAAAGAATGATTACAAATTCATATGTTGACAGATACTAGCACAGGTTGAGTATACCTAATCTACAAATGCAAAATCTGAAATACTCAAAAATCCAAAACTGTTTGAGTGCTAACGTGACACTCAAAGGAAATGCACATTGGAGCATTTTGGATTTTGGATTTTCAGATTAGGGATGTTCAACCAGTAAGTATAATGCAAATATTCTAAAATCTGAAAAAAATCAAAATCTAAAACACTTCTAGTCACAAGCATTTTGAATAAAGGATAATCAGCCTGTATATATTATTAATTAAATATCTACTGACGTTTCTTGCAGAGAACAAGAAATTCACGGAACAAGTGGATCAGAGGTCAAGTGGGAGATAAGTGACGGGGGGAAATGCAAAAATAGGATTAGGCAAAGAAAGCACTTTTATGGTTCTGAGAGAAAGAAGCGATTTCACCTGGTATAAATATTGAGGCTAAGATTAAGTTCTAAGATCAACCTTAGCCGGACAATCCTAACATCATTTAAAAGTCTGGCTATGATAAATCTTTTGAGAAATCAGTAAGGGCAGTTTATTTAATCACTCAGCTTAGAGAAATATCATCCATATATTTAGAGTGTTGGTCTTTAACAACACTGAGTTTTTGGGAATGTTGGCTTTCCCTTTCTACCGCTCTAGCTGTTCCTTCTTCCTGATAAAGCTCCCCATCCTTGCTTGCTTGTTAATTTTCATATTATTCTCTAAGATCCTGTCCTTGATCTGCTCCCGTAGTTTCAGCTGACCTCCATCTAGGACAATTCCAAACCTGTTCCTCCAGCCAAGACTGTCACATATGGCTTCAAAGATTTGTTGTGCCCAGCACAATTCTGGGGCACCATACACACCAAACATGAACATAAGTAGTACTTCTCCTGCTCACACGTCTCTTTGGATCCATGTTCCCCAGCCACCTCTAGACGTGTCTCCTGAAGGGATCACTGGCATCTCAGGTGTAACACATCCAGAACTGACCTTATCATCCTCTCAAGACACACCCCTCCTCTGGTCCCTCCTGTTCACCTTCATTAGAGGTAAAGCCAGAAACTGAGAGGCATGTGAGCTCCTCCCCTCAGTCCGCATATTTGATTATCATTATTATACTTTTCCCTTTAAATATCCCTCAGTTAACAACTTAACAAGTCCAATTTCATTCATATCCACTGCCTTAATTCAAACACATAACACTTTCTGTTTGAATTACTACAGTGTTTTCCAGACGGATCTCTTCATCCTAAGTTGTATCCTGCCTTTATCCTCCACACTGCTCTAAAAGTGGTCTTTTAGAAACAATTATGACTATGATGCTTCCCCACTAAAAAGTCTTCAGAAGCTCCCTTTAAAGTGCAAACTCTGTAAGTGGATTGCCAAAGCCAGTCATGGTTTGCTCATTAAAGACCACTCCCCAGCCACTCCCTCAACACATAGGTTTAAATTCCAGTCATTCTAAAGTACTTGCCATGCTATCCCAAACTTCTTCACCATTGCACAAGATGTTTCCTCTTCCTAGAAATCCCATCCCTTACTATCAACTCCTGTAGCACCCTTTGCCTTCCATTGTAACAGAATTTGCTACAATGTTTTATTTTATTTTACTTATTGCCCTCTACCACTAGATTATTAAGTCCCAAAAGGATTGGGGATTATGTCATTCACCTCTGTATCACCAGTGCTTTTCATAGTACTGGGCATATAGTAGGTATTCAATACATAAATATGGGATAAAAGGTAAATTTCTATTGCTATTGTAAGGTTTAGCATTCACTGAATAAGTGGCTGTACAGTGGTAAGATCAGCTATGCAATATTCATATCTTGTAAATTATGGGTATTTTAACAACTACTTCTGTACTTCTTGTGTCCTTTGGACTTCTGAGAGGAAACAGAAACTCCATGCATCTTTGTAATCAACTTTTTTTCTGATATTCGGAGGCTATTCTACTTCATTCATCCAGAACTTTGGGGTTGGGAGGAACCAAAAAACAGGCCTAGAGTGGAGTACCTATCTTTAATAAGCTAAAGATATTAACTTCACTATATACTGATGTTAAAAAGATAAGGAGATTTTATACAAATCATTTAGAATTGACTCAGTAGCAAACTAGGGTGTATATGTCCATACTTATGAATTCACCATTTTCACGATGGAGTTTTTTGCTGTTTGCCTCTACTTCTCATTCATCCCAACACAGCCTGTATGGGGAAATAAAAAGTAAAATAGAATGTTAACAGGCCATTTTATTTTTTTTTACTGTTTTAACCCATGACTTCAAGGAAGAAAGATGCAAACAAATACACAAGGTGAACTGCTGTGGTAGAAAAACTCCAGACTTAGTAGCTTCTATTCTCATTCCTGGCACTTAGTAGCTGTGCACTCTGAAGCGATTTAGTTAACCTCTCCAGACTGTTTTGTCACTGTGAAATGGAAATACGTTCATTTAGAAATATTTTTAATGCCTGTGTGTGTGTGTGTCAGGTGCTTTGCTATGCACTCAAAATAGTTGCCATGTCTTCTTCATGAGGTTGATGTGAAAGCTGGATGAGATACTGCCTGTGAGAGCGTTGTTGGTGTTGTTTTTTGTTTATTACTATCAAGTGACACCTAGAACGATCTCAGTCTTCAGTCAGCGAAGACTCCGTTACTTTGACAGAAAAGTACACTGATTCATTTGTAGCAAAGTTTGAAGCAAAGAAATATTTGACTTTAGCCCCAATTCAGAGAAAAGTTTAAGTAGCCCCAATCTTCTTTGCCCAAGCATTCTAGTTAATACAGTTTTTTATTGATAGGTGAAGTTGTTATTGTATTATTGTCTACTGCCACATAACAAATTTTACCTGAAAACTTAACGGCTTAAAACAATAAATATTTGGCTCGGCACAGTGGCTCACGCTTATAATCCCAGCACTTGGGAGGCCAAGACGGGAAGATTATTTGAGCCCAGGAGTTCCAGACCAGCCTGGACAAGAGTGAGACCTCATCTCTACAAAAAAAAATTAAAAAATTAGCCAGGCCGGGTGTGGTTGCATGTGCCTGTAGTCCCAGCTACTGGAGAGGCTGAGGCAGGAGGATTGCTTGAACCCTGGAGGTCAAGGCCGCAGTCAGCCGGATCATGCTACTGCAGTCCATCCTGGCCGACAGATTGAGACTCTATCTCAAAAAATAAACACACAGTTATTATCTCACAGTTCCCATGGATCAGACTTCTTAGGTTAACTGAGTGTCTCTGGCTCAAGGTCTCTCATGAAGTTACAGTCAGGCTGTCAGCTGGGAGCAGTGGTCTCATTGGAAGGATAAACTGGTGGGATCTGCCTCCAAGTTGTGGTTGTTGGCAAGCTTCTTTCCACTTAAGCTTCTCTAAAGGCTGCTGTTATGGACTGAATTGTGTCCACCTCAAAATTCATATGTTGAAGCCCTAACCCCCAATACCTCAGAATATGACTGTATGTAGAGATAGCTCTTTTAAAGAGGTGATAAAGTTAAAATGAGGCCATGCGGCAGGGCCCTGCTCCAGTGTGACTTCTTACAAGAGGAGGAAATATGGACACACAAGGAGACACCAGGTATTTGCACACATAGAGGAAAGACCATGCAAGGACACAGCAAGACTGTGGCCATCTGCAAGCCAAGGAAGGAACCAAACCAGCCAGCACCTCCATCTTGGGCTTTGAGCCTCCACAACTGTGAGAAAATGAGTTCCTGTTATTTCAGCCACTTAGTATGTGACATTTTGTTATGGCAGCCCTATCAAGCGAATACAGCTGGCTTATCCCATAGTGGCTGGCCTCCCCTGAGCCAGAAAGCCATGAGAGCCTGAGAAAGCTCCCACAGCAGGAGCCACAATCTTTTTATAACTTAATCTTGGAAGTAACATCCCATACTTTCTGCAGTATTCTCTTTGTTAGAAGTGATTCCAGTGCACACCCAAGGGGAGGCAATTACATAAGGGTATGCCTTCCAGGAGGAGGAGTCACAGAGGTCATTAAAAGGCTGCCTGCCATACTAGTTTGGGGTTGCTTTTAAATAAGTTAAAGTAAAGCATTTAGAGGTGGACAGATTGGCAACTTTTACGTGATACTGTAGATTCAACCTCACCAAATACATGAGCACTCTGACTAACTTAATCTATAAGCTATACTCTCATTCTGTGAACCTAAGATTGTTATGATCTGTAAGATAAAAACTTTTGACATTTAAGACAAGGTTTTCTGGGGGACGAAGAACATTTTAATGGACTAGATTGAAGAGAAAAGGTATTATCAATAAATGCTTAAGTCTAGGTTGAATATGGTGCTTCTCATCCAGGGCTGCATACCAAGAGGAGGTGGGGGGAAGGAAGGAGGGATAAAGTTTATCATTAGTAAAAAAGCACAGTCAAACTATAATGTAATCTTATGTATGGAAAGTGAAAAAAAATTATAGCTTTCATAAACTGCAGAAGGTAAAACTGAAGACAATCTTGGCTGATGGAGAATAGGTCATAAAAAGCTGAGAAAATGCTCTAACCATTCTCTCATTGTTAATGGACAAAAAGGGAGTAAATGAGACTGGGTTCCGGGTGAGCATGCAGTGCACCATAATACCCAAAGAGCTTTTAAGAACATCCGGTGAAGAGTAAGAAAACAGTTAAGGGGCTGCATGGATTAATTTGGGAGATAAATATAAAGCAGCAGTCATATTCTGGAGCCTTTAAGAACTAATAGGAAGAACTTTACAAGAGAAGGATTGGGGACTGTTGAACCCAAGCTTTAGTTCAAAGGATCCAGAGGACATCTGCTTTGTGGTGATAGTGAGCTGACATCTGATTCCTCAGTAAGTACACTGAGTTCCCAGTAGCTTTAGCCTCTAAAATTAGTAGCATTGTCAGCTTGATTGTCTTGTGTTTGTCTAACAATCAGAGTCTATGTGGCAAAGCTGTCATTATTCCCAACCAAGGTCAAACTTCTTTTCACCAACAGCCCTCGTTGGTTTCTTGAGTGATGCTAATATGAGGGGAGATTCTCCCTTTGCCTTTCAGAGAGCTCTAAGGAGCTGTCAATAGTAATAACATCTCCACGTATTCAGCTGCAATAATTTAGCTCCTGCTTCATTGGAACTCTCTCTTGGGTGAGCCTTTAAGAGAGGAAGAAGCTGTTTCCTGTTATCTCCAGGCTGCATGACAACAAGATGATAGGCTGATTCTAGGGCCCATTTCAGTTTTCCATACAACAAGTTGTGAAACTAGAGAGTGAGATGGATGGTGGGAGGATCCCACAAGACCCACACTAAAAAGATGTGTTGGGATTTGGATATTTCTATGGATTACCTAAAGAGTTCTCTTGAAAGTAGATGTTTATGTTGTTGTGGAACAATTTCTGAGAGATATTGTTAAGTAAAAGATGCCCCAAAAAAACCCAACCCACTGTAGATTATGCTCCCCTTCATATAAAAAGGGGAGGAGGAATATATGTTTGTATGTGCATAGACAGTCCTGAGAAGGGTGAGCCACACACCTATGCAAACCAGTAATAGGCAGCTGCCTGCCTCTGAGATGGAGACCCAAGAGTCTAGGGTAGAAGAAATACTTTTAACTCCATAATCTTTTGTATTTTTTTTTTAATCATGCCTAGATGACTTTTAAACCACACAAATAGGAACAGTTTTTAAAAGAGAAAACCCTTGAAGAAATGACACTTAAGTTATGGCATATAGCCCTTAAATTCATGCTCTATTCTCTTAAATAGTAATTTGAGTTTTCTGGTTCTCTCTCCTTTTTGTCATTAGAGTTTGAAAAATCATGGTAGGAATAGCAGTTATTTATTGAGCACCTGCTGTATCCCAGGTGCTGTAATTTTTACATAGTTTTTTTTTTCACTTAATCATCACAACAATCATATGAGAAATACTTCTTAAACTGCCATGTTTTTACAGTGGAGACTTATATTCCTTCTTTGGGTTTTCTTTAGAAAATAGAGAGTTCCAAGATTAATTTTCTACGAAATGTCTGTTACTTTGCTCCAGCAAAGATTAGAATGGCCCTTGTCCTGAGGGGTGCATCGGATCAGTTCTACCTTCAAGTTTTTCTCCTCTTTCTCTGGCTTGTCTTAAAGTGTAGTCAGATCTTTCTTGCTCTCCCTCCCTCTCTGCTTCACGTCTTTCCATCCGTCTCTCTTCCTCGCTTTGTATTTCTCATCACAGCTTCATTGACCTCC
This sequence comes from Homo sapiens, assembly GCF_000001405.40. NCBI lineage: Eukaryota > Metazoa > Chordata > Mammalia > Primates > Hominidae > Homo > Homo sapiens. The sequence continues at coordinate 75,936,496 of NC_000014.9, forward strand.
CTATTTCTTGCATCATATGGCTTCTTCCATGTGGCAAGATCAGATGGAAGGGTGTGGTTTGAGCATCTTCCATCTTATTCTTTCCAGCAGTGACCACAGAGTGAGGGAAGCATCTCTCTTTCTACTTTAATATATATATAACTCCCTAAGAAGGACTGGGATCGGCTTGGCCTGGGTAATAAGACCACCTCTTGAAGTAATTGCTGTGGCCAAGGGGATTCAGGTTTTGGCCAGGCCTGGGATCATTTTTGCATCAACTTTTGTGATCAAGAGGATGTGGAATTAACATTTGTAGCCTGGCAGTAATAGCTTGGTTGGAATAGAAGAAGTGGGGAGCAATTTCCCAAAGGAAGAGAAAGGGGCTGAAACCCTAAGCAGATGGGAAGTGTCACTAGGCAGACAAAAATAGTAAATTTCCCTGCTTTCCACCCTTAGCTTCTTATACAAATGCAGAGTTAAATTATAAAACAATTCATGCAATAAGCACTTTATATAACACTGGAGCAGAATAAGTGATAGATCAATATCCATAATTATTTAACATCTTTAAAATTGTGGTGAAATATATGTAACATAAAATGTGCTGTTTCAACCATTTTTAAGTGTATGGCATTAAGTACATTTACATTTTTTTTTTTTTAAGTCAGAGTCTTGCTCTGTCACCAGGCTGGAGTGCAGTGGCACGATCTCAGCTCACTGCAACTGCCAACTCCCTGGTTCAAGCGATTCTCCTGCCTCAGCCTCCCTAGTAGCTGGGTTTACAGGCATGCACCACCACGTCCAGCTAATTTTTTTTTTTTTTTTGTATTTTTAGTAGAGACGGGGTTTCATCATGTTGGCGAGGATGGTCTTGAACTCCTGACCTTGTGATCTACCCACTCAGCCTCCCAAAGTGCTGGGATTACAGGCATGAGCCACCATGCCTGGTCCATTTACATTCTTATGTAATCATCACCACCGTTCACCTCCAGAATTTTTTTCTTCTTGCAGAACTTTAGCTCTGTACCCATTAAACAATAACTCCTCATTCCCTTTTGCCCCCAGCCCCTGGCAACCACCATTCTACTTTCTGTCTCTATGAATTTGACTACTCTAGGTACCTCATATAAGTGGAATCATACGGTATTTGTCATTTTGTGACTGGCTTATTTCACTTAGCATAGTGTTCTCCAGGTTCATCTGCGTTGTAACAAGCAGAATTCCCTTTTTTAAGGTTGATTCATAATTTAATGTATGTATACACCACATTATCCATTCAGCAATCAATGGACACTTGAGTTGCTTCCACCTTTAAATATTGTGAATAATGCTGCTGTGAACATGGGTGTGCAAATATATGTTTGTGTCCCTGCTTTCATTTCTTTTGGGTACATACACAGAAGTGGAATTGCTGGATTGTATGGTAATTCTGTTTTTAATTTTTTGAGGAACCACCATCCTGCTTTCTGTAGTAGCTGTACCATTTTACACCCCCACCAGCCGCACACAAGGGTTTCTGTTTCTCCACATTCTCACTAACACTTGTTATTTTATGGTTATTTTAAATGTTTATGTTTTGATAGTAGCCATCCTAATGGGTGTGATGTGGTTTTAAATTAAACATTGGTAACTGAGATAATACTAGTGCCATTTATAAAATTAGCATCATGGATGAGTGGGACAGACAATACTGTTAGAATTTTCAAAGTCAAGTTTCGATGATGACTGAATGTTAAACTCAGCTAGGTTTTTCTCAAAAGAGAAGGAGAAGTCGGAGCCAGAGGTAGAATTGAGCAATCATCTGTATGGAGATACTTGTTAAAACTGTGAGTGGATGCATTCTCCAAGGAAACGAGTTTAAGGATTAGCAGCAAGGTTCAAAGGATGGAGGAAAAGGAGCCAGTGGGGGAGCCCATGGAGGCAGCCTTGAGAGACACCTGGATATTTCAGAAACTCGGAGTCCCAGGATGGGAATGATCAGTGAGCTCAGATGCCAAGACAGATGACTTTATGTAAATTGCCTGTGAATAAAATTTTGTTAAATTGAATCATTTTACATGAATAATAACCTGTAGTGCCCTTTATAATTTTCAGAATGCTTTCATATGGATTTCCTTATTTGGCCCTTGTAGCAATCCAGTGAGGTACACACGTTTTTATTCTCATATTACAGAGGAAGAAACTGAAGCACAGAGAGATTGCAATTTTCCTAAGGTTACTGCTCGTAAATCTCAGTTTCCCAAGATGATCAGTTTTGGGGAGGCTGAAGGCACAGTAGTTCAGAGATGCTTACAGCAGAGTAGGCATGAGTGTCTTCCCATAATGCCCCAGAGGCTTGTCATCCCTAGCACATGAGATCTCTTTCAGTACCTCCTGGAAACAATATACACTGGCCACTCTCGGCTTCCTGTGAACTAGTAAAGAGCTTGATTGCCTATACTCTAGAGCAGTGATTGTTAAACTGTGAGTCGTGACCTAGCAGTGGGTCATCCAATCAGTTTAACGGGTCGCAACCAGGCTCACAAGAGCTGGTGGAAGGTGTCCCTTCCCAACTCTGCCTTCAGTAACTTTGCGTTGGTTATTTGAACTCAATTGTGGTGGAAATTGGCCAACAACACAAAGTTGGGGCTTTCATTTGTTTTACCGTAGAGAGCCTGTTAAACATTTTCTAGCACACCACTGGTCACAATCATCATTCCCCTGCCTCCCCACCCCAGTGCAGCAGAATGAAATAGAAGAATACCAGGGTCTATCTACAGTAAAAGTAAGTGTAAGTATTATGGGAATTTTATTTAAGTCATAAAGATGGTTGTGCATTCAGTGGCAATGTGAGATGTACTTTTTACTATGCATTGCAATCAGAAAAAAAGTTTGAAAGTCACTGTTAGTCACTGGTCTAGAGTCCCTTCATTTCATTTCATTTTATTTGTTTAGACAGCTTTACTCTGTCATTCAGGCTGGAGTGCAGTGGCATGATGACAGCTCACTGCAGCCTCATACTTCTGGGCTCAAGCAATCTTCCTGCCTCAGCCCCTGAGTGGCTGGAACCACAGGTGTGCAACACCACGTCCAGCTAATTATTTTATTTTATTTTTAGTAGAGATGAGTTTCTCTATGTTGCCCAGGCTGGTCTCAAATTCCTGGGTTCAAGCGATCCTCCTGCCTCAGCCTCCCAAAGTGCTGGGATTATAGGCATGAGCCACCATGCCCAGCTGGACCATTTACTTCTCACCTTCTTTAGGTAACTGAAAGTGCTATTCTCCTAATCTTCAGATAGAGAACTGGTATCCAGCACCCTCTTTGACTCATTAATGCTGCATCTGCTACAGGAGGAATGAGGCTGAATTTTTATCAGACTAGAAGCTATTCTAGAAGAGGCAAAATCCACCCCCACCATCAATCTGTCTTTTGAACTCAAAGCTATATAAAAATCCATTCTAATGCCCCACCAAAGATTTTCTCCAGTGAGCAGAAAACAAAAATCATTATCCTTAAATCCCAGAGGTTTGAGGCTTGTGAATAGCATAAATCAATTTATAGCTCGTAGCATTGTTTTACTCTACCACTCTTCATTACCAGAGCTCCCTATAAAGAAATTAAATCTTTTTTTTTTTTTTTTTTTTTTGAGATGGAGTCTCACTCTTGCCCAGGCTGGAGTGCAGTGGCGCGATCTCAGCTCACTGCAAGCTCCGCCTCCCAGGTTCACACCATAGGCTGTCTCAGCCTCCCGAGTAGCTGGGACTACAGGCACCCGCTACCAAGCCTGGCTAATTTTTTTGTATTTTTAGTAGAGACGGGGTTTCACCATGTTAGCCAGGATGGTCTCAATCTCCTGACCTCATGATCCACCCGCCTCGGCCTCCCAAAGTGCTGGGATTACAGGCATGAGCCACCGCGCCCGGCCGAAATTAAATCTTTTTAAGAAAGTGAAGAAACTCTTCATAAAAGAAACTCTCCTTTTAATAATTCAGCCATTTATTTTATAAATCTAGGTTTTACATGTTTATATAAAAATACACCAGATATACTCAAGTAGGTTATGCTTCGAAACTAGCATGGTAGATACATCATAGAATTAGATCCCAAGAACATTGATTTTAGTCAGCCTTAAAATTTTTAAATTTTCATAACAGGGTGGTTATTAAGTATTCTTATGCCAAAAAACCTCTGTCAAACATGTTAATCAGTCTTCCATTAGGATACTTACTATCTAAATGTAGTTACAAAAAGAAACACTTTTCACTGAATGACATTTGAAAGTCTTTCAGAGATTTATATCTCTCTATTCCGTGATAAAATGTTATCATGCCCATCTGATGGGTTTATTATAATAAAATAATCCAGAATAGGGGGAACATGGTTTTTTACAGGTTTGTGAGACTTAAGTATATCTTCAGAAATGAGTTATGTGCATTTTTCTTAGAAGAATTAGGCTTGTTGTATTAATGACTATAATTCTTTATAGTAGAATTCCTTAAAATAGCATTGTATTAAAATTATTCAACACTCATTTGCGAGTAGAAAGGAAATCTTCCCCCATAGATGGACACTTGAGCTCTTGTTGGTTTTAGCATCTGAACTGAACCAGATGCCTGCATTACTCATGAGAAATTAAAAAGGATTTCTGGGAGGCCATGAGGGCTTGGTGGTGCTGCTGTAGTCAGCGGCTCCCATGTCCCATGTGGCTGCATTGCAGAGTTCCTTGGGCTGTCTTTGCTCTGAACAAACCCCTTGCAGCTGTGCCCGGCGCCTTTGTGACAACCCAGGCAAGGTTTCATGAAATGGATCTGATGTTCTTGTGCCTGTGTTATTCATTCCAACATACTGGAGCTATGCCCAGGAAGGTGAGGGGCAGCAGGTTGGCCCACACACCCCAGCTGTCCGTTTCTACTAATGTCACTCAGGATATAAATAAATTGATTCATTCACTTCCTTTCTTATCAAACCAGAATGTTGCCAGAAGATACTACCAGGGCTGCCCAGATCAGTTGGAAAGGCCTTAGGGACAAATCTTTAAGAGGTAAACGTCTTTGCATTTAGGTAATATTTTAAATTAAGTTTTTAATTTTATTTTTCTTATTCACTTCAGACCTTGGAGGGAGAAAAATAACTTTGGTTATATGTTCATAACATTTGAGGTTTGAGCCTTCTTTATTTGTCCCATTTTCCAGATAGGAATTTTTTCTTTTTACTGTATTCTTTTTTTCTGAGACAGGTTCTTGCTGTGTTGCCCAGGCTGGTCTTGAATCCTGAACTCTTGAGCTCAAGTGATTCTCCCTCCTCAGCCTCCTAAGCTGGGATTATAGGTATGTATCACCACACCTGCCTGGCTTAGGGCCTTCTTTATTGGCAGAAAATTCATGATGAACTTTTTTTTTTTTTTTTTTTTTTTTCTGAACTGGAAAAGCTATGAGTCATAGGATTTCATAAAAATGCGGTGGCTCACACCTGTAATCCCAGCACTTTGGGAGCCGAGGCAGGCGGATCACGAGGTCAGGAGATCAAGACCATCCTGGCTAACATGGTGAAACCCATCTCTACTAAAAATACAAAAAAACTAGCCAGGTGTGTGGTGGCTGGTGCCTGTAGTCCCAGCTACTTGGGAGGCTGAGGCAGGAGAATGGCTTGAACCAGGGAGGCGGAGCTTGCAGTGAGCTGAGATCATGCCACTGCACTCCATCCTGGGCTACAGAGCAAGACTCTGTCTCAAAAAAAAAAAAAAAATGTGTATCCCTTAACCTTCAGACAGCTGATGAGTGGTAGAAGCACTGGCCTGGAAGTACAGATTGCCGCTTACCACATCAGGCCTTTTGTTGTTTGTAGAAGCCTAGTTTGTATTGTTAGTTGGAAGTCTTTTGCCACCCATAGGGTAACAGCGCTATTGATCATCAGTCAATCAACTATTTACCAAGCAGCTCTCATGTAAATATTTATAAGGCAAAATGCTGGGTGCCCTGGGTCATGTGAAAATTTGTAAGATGCGATCTCAGCACTTAAGAGTGTAGCAGTGAAAATAAGCAGTATATGCAAGACAAAGTCCCTCCCCATGTGCCTCCAAATGATAAAAGAAACAATGATTTAGATCGTTTAGGAGGGTCTCTCCACCATTCCTCTCAGGTAACTTATGCTTCCAAATGAGCACGACATGTGAATCTGCTCTTGGCTTCAATGGTTCTTCATTCCTAGGTGATTCTCATAGTGCAGTTTACCTTGGCAAATGTTGATCACAATGTCTAAAAATACTTGCATTCTCTATGGCCTAAACACAAGCCAGTCATGTTAGTTGGGTGCTAACGAAAGAACAGAAGGATGGAAGTATAAGTGTGTTTGTTGGACTCCCTGATAGTTGCCGAACTGGCATGATGTATTTTACAGGTGCTTTAAGACTTTTTAGGGTAGTTCTGAATATATTTTATGTTTGTGTTGCTTGTTGACTTTAGGACTAACATAATAAGACATAACTTCATTTATTTCATAAATGCCAAGTGAGTGTATAAAGACAGTATTATCTGTAGACATTTGGCCAAAAAAAGACAGAATTTCCAGGCCAAGCCATTAAAGCAAAAATAAAGATGGGTTAGCTACAGTGGCTGGTATTTCAAAGTCCCACAAAAAAAAGGCGGTGTCGGGGAAGAGCTGGGCTGTAGTCGTGGTCATAGAGGCAGTGAGGGAAAAATGCAGTAACATCGTTGTTCTGTATACCTCTCCTGCTCTTATGACCCCGTCACTGGATCACCAGGCAGGAGTTAGGATTGAAGTGACTCTGTACCCGAATTATGGCAGGATGTAAGGGACAATAGGCAAATCTTAAGGTGAAGAGTCTAGAGGAGACCCTTCTAGACTGGGACCCCAGAGTGCCAGCTATAGTCTCCATATGTAAGTCAACTAGAAATAAGCCCTCCCTCTCGTCCACCCTTCAGTCCCTCAGGCATTGAAAGATAACTGGCTATCTGGAAACTTGGTGCTAAATGGAGTGGAGAAGGGGAATCTCCCCTGGTAATTTATAACCACAAGCTGGACCCCTTGTAAGCTTGGGCATGAATTCACATTCTGGAGGTAGCCTGAAAAACTTCAGACTGAGAGTTTAAGGTGGTCCTAAGGCACCTAGCAGAATCAAATGCATGTTTTATCTGGAGGAATCCTCCTCCAACCCAAACCTCAAATAATTCCCACAGGTAAAGTTTTGTGAGATCAGAGTTTAAAATCACAAAACAAATAAAGAAACATGGCACCATGAGCAAAGCCAGCAAAATAATAGATAACAGTGTTAGACTAAGATAATTGAAATTGCCAAATAGTGCAAAATAACTTTTCTCATATGTTTAGAGAAATTAAAAGAGAGAGTAAACCAAGAGATTAAAATTATGACCAAGCAGATTTGAAATAGAACTAAGTAACTCTTTTGGAATTGGAAAATAATAATAATTAAAGTTTAAAAATCCATGGATGGGCCTACCTGCAGATTTGACCCAGTTCATTGAAGAGAGCTTTAATGAACTCAAAGATGGATTTAAAGAAATGATCTGGGCACTTGTCTTTCGAGTCGCCTGCTTAGCCCTCTTCTAAGTGTGCTTTCCTTCCTGCTCTGAAGCTTTTTGATAAACTTTCCCTCCTGCTCTAAAACTTGCCTTGGTCTCTTCTTCTGCCTTATGCCCCTCAGTCAAATTCTTTCTTCTGAGGAGGCAATAATTGAGGCTGCGGCAGACCTGTACAGATACAGATTCACTGCCGCTAACATATTTTGGTGCCATGTGACTTGGATACCTTCCGCCGGTAACATACTTTGCTGTGTGACTCGAATACATTCCCTACTTGCCATCAAGCTTCAGATGATCCTCAGTGAGGGACACCATCCTCTCAATATTCAAGAGTCACCCTTCTACAAAGGACCCCTAGACTGCCCATCAGTGGAACAAACAGAGGCACAATCTTGCCCCTGTCTCCCTTGGGCCTGGCTGGATCCCACTTTCACCAACCCACGGAGCCTCCCTGCCCTGACAGCTAGCAACAGGCCAAAACCCACAGAACAGCCAACTACCACCTGTCAGTGGAAAGCAGTTACAGAAGACTGACCTTCATCCATTTTCCCCAAAGAATTGGGATCTTGGACTCTTGAGTCAGGAAAGGTTACAGTAGGTAGTCAGACATGAGCAGGGCAAGAGAGGGCTCCTGCCCTACCCCTTCCCACCACAACCAGGAATGTCAGGTGACCATCAGGTGATGATCAGGCAGTTGTTGAAACTGTCTCTCTAAAATAATAATCAGTTGCAGCCAGCACCAGGGAAAGGCAGTCTCCTTATAGATAGGAAAAACCTGAAACTAGTGATTAGTAGCTTCCTGATAAGATCTCAGGAGTTGGGGGAGTGGGCTTGAGCATGTGCACTAAGAGGCAAAATGGCGGCCTTTAACTGGCATATGACCTCCTAGGGACATTTGGCTGGTAAGGGAAAAACGCTTCAAGTGAGCATGCGTACAACTCCAGTAAACACACTGTGCATGCTCATCTCCCAAGTGCTAGCAGACCACTGCATCTGCATATGTGGACAGCCCACTCCAAGGGAAAAACCAGGGGAGAAGAGATGCAAGACGCCAGAAGTATGCCAGCATATAAAACCCCAAGTCAGAAGGTCAAACCTCATACTTGATCTCTCAAGCCACCTGCTTGGCCCTCTTCCAAGTGTACTTTCCTTCCTTTTGTTCCTGCTCTAAAGCTTTTATAGATATATAATATATATTACATATATTATTTTATAATATGTATTTTTTATAATATATATTATATATAAAAAAAAATTTTTTTTGAGACGGAGTCTTGCTCTGTCCCCAGGCTGGAGTACAGTGGCACGATCTTGGCTCGCTGCAACCTCCACCCACTAGGCTCAAGTGATTCTCCTGCCTCAGCCTCCTGAGTAGCTGGGACTACAGGTGCGTGCCACCATGCTCGGCTGATTTTTATATTTTTAGTAGAGACGGGGTGTCACCATGTTGGTCAGGATGATCTCGATCTCTTGACCTCATGATCTGCCCGCCTCAGCCTCCCAAAGTGCTGGGATTACAGACATAAGCCACTGCACTTGGCCTTCTAAAGTTTTTTAATAAACATTCCCTTCTGCCCAAAAAATAATAATAAATTGAAAAATAAATGATTGGGAATGCAGCACAGAAAGAAAAAGAGGTGGAAAGCCATTTGAGAAGGCCTAATAAATATCTAATTGGAGCTCTGGAAAGAAAAAATGGGACAACATTTGAAGAGATAATGGCTAAAAATTTTCCACAACTAGTGAAAGATACACATATTGCAGTGAATCACAAGAAATCCACACCTAGACACATCATACTTTAGAGCACTAAGGTCAAAAGATGTTAAAGCAGCTGGAGGGAGTGGAAGGATTACCAGAGCAATTCCAGTCTGATTGACAGCTAACTTCTCAGCAGCAAAGATGGAAACAAAAATACAGTGTAATGTTGCCATTGAGGAAAGGAAATAATTACCAAACCATAAATGTATTCTAAGCAAAAATATCTTTCATGAATGAGGATGAAACACATTTTCCAACACATAACACGCAAAAGAGTTTGTCACTAGTAGACCTTTGCCAAGGAGTCTAAAGAATGTATTTCAGACAGAGGAAGGTATTATAATACCAGAAGAAAGGTCTGAAATGCAGGAGGAATTGGGGGCAACATAATGAGCAACAAAATGATGATAATGTTCTTGTGAGGTTAAAAAGAAAATGAAAATGTCCAAACCATCATATCATGTAACTCAAGGAGAGCAGATGTTCAAAATTAAAGTCATTTAAGTTCATACTGTACAGTGAAAAGGTAAAGTTATTGATGAATTTTACCTTTATATAGTTAACATATACAATTGTTAAATGAATAAAGTATTTAAAAAAATAGAAAACTTCCAAAGTAGCAGAGAGAAAGTGGAATGAGATAGAGAATAAATCCACAAGGAGGAAAAGGAAACATGGAAGAGGTAGAACAAATAGAAAGCACAGCTTAAAACAGTACGAACAAATAAAAGTATTGGCCCTTTCCAAAATGTGAGTTGACTCAATGTTCCAGTGAAGGTCAAAGACTGATTGATTCATGAATGCAACAAATATGGACCAAGCATCTTCTGTGTGTTCAGCACTATTCTAGGCACTAGGCACAAGCCGTGGAGCAGTGAGCAAAACAGCCAAAAATCCCCAATAGGAGAGACAAACAACAGACCAAATAAGTAACACAAACCGTACATGAGAATGTGGGAAATGTTCTAGAGAGAAAAAAAAAAACAACAACACAGTGAAAGAAGGTAGAGAATGGGGAGGTTCGCTATTCTAAATAAAGTAGAGAAAGTGGCCTTTGCGGTGAGAACTGAAGAAGGGGGAATAAGCTGGCAGATATGGATGGAAGGGAACTCCAGGTGGAGGGAACAGCGGGAGCTCATGCCTGGAGGGAGGGATGTGGCTGCTGTGATTGGGAAATTCAAGTGGAGCTGTCATGTTGCACGAGAGAGCAGAGGAGAGTGAGAACAGATGAGGCTGAGAGATGACAAGGGGCCAGATCATGCAGGCCCTGGGGGCCAAGGAGAGGACTTGGCGCTTGTCTTCTGAGTGTAGTGGTAGCCATCAAGGAATTCTGAGCAGAGGATTTCACAGGATGGCTGTGGCTGCTATATCAGGCAGGGACAAGGTGGGAACAGTGGAGGGAAGAGAAAATGGCCAACCAGAAATAGTTATATTGTCAGCCTGGATTTTTAAAAAATAGACTTTTAGGCTATTAAAACAAGAAAATCTTACATAGGCATATATAAAGGATCAAAGAAAAAGGTTGGAAAAAGATATATTGGGGAAATACCAACCAAACGAAAGCTGATGTAGCTATATTTATCAGACAAAATAGATTTTCAGGCAAAAAAGCATAACAAGAAATAAAGAGGGTCACTACATTATGGCTAAAGGTTCACCAAGAAAGTGCTCAACCTTTTCTCGTCAACTTACTTTAACTAGTATATTTAATGTTTTTTTCATTTAATAAATACATATTTATGAAAAGTACATTGGGCAAAAAATTAACAGAACCATAAGAAAAATAGATAAATCTAGCTTTATATTGGAAGGTTTTAATGTAACTCAGTAATTGCTAGATTGAGCAGTCTGATAATAAGTAATGTTTCTGATAATAAGAACATTTAAGAGGCTGTGCATAGTGGTTCACACCCATAAACCCAGCACTTTGGGAGGCTAAGGCAGGAGTATCACTCTAGCCCAGGAGTTTGAGACCAGTCTGGGCAACAAAGTGAGACCGTCTCTCCAAAAAAATCGAAAAATTAGCTGGGCGTGGTGTGTGCCTGTGGTTCCAGCCACATGGGAGGCTGGCGCATCCCCATGCTTGAGCCCAGGAGGTTTAGGCTGCAGTGAGCTGTGTTCATGCCACTGCACTCCAGCCTGGGCAACAGAGCAAGACCCTGTCTCAAAAAAAAAAAAAAATCGAAATTTTAACTACATCATTAACAGGCTTGATCTCATAGGCGTGTATACAACATCACACTAAATAACTGCATAATGCACATTCTTTGCAATCTTCTATGGGGGAGTTGCAGAAACTACGTAGTAGGCCTTAAATCACATTTCAAACACTACATTCCTTGACCATAACGCAATAACAAAAAGATACTGGAAAAGTCCTCATATTTTTGGAAATTAAGAAAGAGTTAACTAATTTAAAAATCATAATTGGCGGGGCACAGTGGTTCACACCTGTAACCCCTGCGCTTTGGGAGGCCAAGACGGGTGGATCACCTGAGGTCAGGAGTTCGAGACCAGCCTGGCCAACATGCTGAAACCCTGTCTCTACTAAAAATACAAAAATTAGCCGGGTGTGGTAGTGGGCACCTGTAAGCCTAGCTACTCGGGAGGCTGAGGCAGGAGAATGGCTTGAAACTGAGAGGTGGAGGTTGCAGTGAGCCAAGACCGCGCCATTGCACTGCAGCCTGGGTGACAAGAGTGAAACCCTATCTTAAAAAAAAAAATCATAATTTTAAAATGTTGTTTAATATTAAAAACTTGACAAATGTAGGTAAAGTAATACCTAAAGGAAAATTTATGCTTACAGTGAGGGAAGAGGAGGGGCTGAAAGTTAATGTGCCAAGTATCTGGTTTAAGAAGTTAAAAAAAGAAAAACAAAATAAGTCAAAAGAAAGTAAAAACCAAAAATAATAATAGCAATAATAAAGATATAGAGGAAAATAAACATACAGTTGAGAGGAATGAGTTAGGGACATTATTATACATGCTTCGGAGATTAAACAGATTGTAGGAAGATACTGTGAATAACTTTATGATGACATGCTGATATATTTTTAAAACTTTAGTGGGATGAGTACAATTTTAATATTTAACTTACAAATATTTACTCAAGAAGAAATACAAAATCCAAATATTCCTTTAATTATTATGGAAACTGAATCAAGAACAAAAATCTTCCCACAAGTTAATTACCAGGCTTTTGTGTTTTACTGGTGAGTCCTACCAAACATTCAAGGAACAAATATTTCAATCTACAAACTATTCCAGAGTATAAGAAAATTATATAGGATCAGAAGGGAGGAGGCAGATCTGTCATTATTCTCAGATAACATATTTGATTGTAAACCCAAAAAGAACGTTCAAATAGACTATTGGCTTTATCAGAGAATTTTCCAAAATCAATTACATTTCTATATTTCTGCACAAACAGGTAGAACATGTGATTACTGAAAAGATATGCTTTACAGAGCATTAAAGCACATGCCTAGGAATAAATCTAACAAAAGATACGTAAGACCTGTGATAAAATATGTATATATACACATATATATAACCTTACCAAGAGACGCTTTAAGAATATATATATGTATTCTTTATATAAGGTTATATATATATAGGATATAGAATATATATATGGTTTTATAGAGTATATATATATTCTATATATATATATTCTATATCCTATATATATATAACCTTATATAAAGAATATATATATATAAAACCTTACCAAGAGATGCTTTAAGAAATTAATGGAGAGACCTACATGTTCGTGGATTAAAAGTTACAGTTTGTAGCCTGGCCTGGTGGTTCACGCCTGTAATCCTAGCACTTTGGGAGACCAAGGGGGATTGCCCAAGCTCCTAGGAGTTCAAGACCAGCCTGGGCAACATGGCAAACCCCCGTCTCTACTAAAAATGCAAAAAATTAGCTGGGCGTGGGGTGCATGCCTATAGTCCCAGCTTAGTCGGGAGACTGAGGCACGAGAATCGCTTGAACCCAGGAGATGGAAGCTGCAGTGAGCTGAGATCACACCGCTGCACTCCAGCCTGGACAATAGAGCGAGACTCTGTCTCCAAAAAAAAAGAAAAAAAAAAAAGTTACAGTTTTGTAAAGATACCAGTTCTCCCTAAAATTGATTTGTATATTTGAGAGGGTATTAGTTGTTTATTTTTATTTTTTGAAATTTATATGAAAGAGAGAAGAACCCTTATACTCCTATAAAGAATGGGGATGTCAGTAGGGGGCTGTGTGTGACTTGTCTTAACCAGATAACAAAAATTACCATCAAGCTAACATGCTTAAGAGAATGTGATATTGACACAAAATAGAGAAACCTAAAACTGGTCTATATATAGGAAATAACTTACGACCAAGACACATTGCGGTTAGAAGAGGAAGGGATAGATTTCAATAATAACGTTAGGACAATCAGTTTTTGTGTAGGAAAAAATGGAATTAGATCTGTGCTTCGAACTGTACACAACTTCAGGTCAGATTAGAGACTTAAATATGAAAAGCAAAAGTGTAAATCTTTAAGAATACATTAGAGGACCAGATCATTATAGTCACGGTAAAAGGAAAGGGCTTGTAAAATCCAATCCAGAAAGTGCAAACCATAAAGGTAAAAACTGATAAATTTGACCTGGTTAAAATTAAGAACTTCTAAGATGCCATGAAGATATTGTGGGAGTTTTTTTCCCTTTGTTTCTTATTCATCAGAGATAGATTCTGAAGATAATGTTATCCTGAGTTTGCTTTGAAAATACTCCAGGAAACAAATGTGAAGAGATGAAACAAATGGTACGATGCCGATCATTATCAAAGCTAGATGATGAGAACATGGAAGTGTATTATACTGTTTTATTTTTTATGTATGTTTGAAATTTTTTATTTTAAAAACCTTTGTCAGGGCTGGGTGCATTGGCTCACACCTGTAATCCCAGCACTTTGGGTGGCCAAGGAGGGAGGATCATTTGAGTCCAGGAGTTCCAGAGCAGCCTGGACAACATAGGGAAACCTTGTCTCTATAAAAATTTTAAAAATTATCCAAACCTGGTGGCACACGCCTGTGGTCCCAGCTACTCAGGAGACTGAGGTGAGAGGATCACTTGAGCTCAGGAGGTCGGGGCTTCAGTAAGCTATGATTATGCCACTGCACTCCAGCCTGGGCAACAGAGTTAAGACCCTGTCTCAAAAAAAAAACAAATGTGTTTTTTGTTTTTAATCCATCCTGTTTTTATGGTGACTGTCCTGGATTTTCTAATATTTTTTAAAAACCTTATCTGGGCCAGGTGTGGTGGCTTGTGCCCATAAACCCAGCACTTTGGCAGGCTGAGGCAGGAGGCTCACTTGAGCCCAGGAGTTTTAGACCAGGCTGGGCAATATAGGGAGATTCCATCTCTGCAAAAAAATAGAGAAAAAATTAGCTAGGCATGGTGGCACATGCTTGTGGTCCCAGGTACTTAGGAGGCTGAGGCAGGAGGATCGTTTGAGCCCAGGAGGTTGGGGCTGCAAGTAAGCCATGATCATGCCACTGCACTCCAGCTTGGGTGACAGAGCAAGACAGTCTCGAAAATAAATAAATACATAACCTTTTCTGTAAAGATCACTTGTTAAGTACATGTCTAAATACAATCTAATTTTTATCCTGAATAGCACTTATCTTAATAAATTACAAAACAATCTCTTTAAAAAAATACCAGGCAGGGCGCAGTGGCTAACACCTGTAAAGTCAACACTTTGGGAGGCCAGCGTGGGAGGATTTCTTGAGCCCAGGAGTTCGAGACCAGCCTGGGCAACATGGCAAAACTCTGTCTCTACAAAAAAATTTAAAAACTAGCCCAGGCATGGTGGTACATGCCTGTGGTCCCAGCTACTCAGGAGGCTGAGGTGGGAGGATTGCCTGAGCCCCTGAGGTTGAGGCTGTGGTGAGCCATGATTCTGCCTCTGCACAATACAGCCTCGGCGACAGAGCGAAACCCTGTCTCAAAAAACCATAGAATGAAGAGACAAGTCACAAACTGGGTGAAGATGTTTGTAATACATAAAAACCAAAAAGTTAGTATCCAGATATTTAAGCAAAGAACTTCTAAAATTCAATAAGCAGTTTCTTAGATATGACATCAAAAGCATAAGCAACAAAAGAAGAAAATAGACAAACTGGGCATCCTCAAAAATTTAAAATTTCCTGCTTCAAAGGACACTATCAAGGAAGTAAAACAACAATCCATGAAATTGAGAAAATATTTACAAATCATGTATATGACAAGGGACTTGTATCTAAAATACATACAGAGCGCTTACAATTCAATAATAAAAAAGACGACTCAGGTTTAAAGATGAGCAAAGGAACTGAGCAGATGTTTTGCCAATGAAGATATACCATGCCAAGAAGCATATAAAACGATCCTCAATATCATTAGCCACTGGGGAAATAAATCAAAACCACAGTGGTCAGCAGCCACCAGCTTGGAGGATCACTTGAGCCGAAGAGTTTGAGACCAGCCTGGGCAACACAACGAGACCCCATCTGCACCAAAAAAAAGAAAAAGGAAAAACACAGCAGTGTATCACTTCATGCCCACCAGAATGGCTGTAATGGAAAAGAGACATTGGAACCTTCATGCACTGTTGGGAGGGATGTAAAATGGCGTGACTGCTTTTGGAAACAGTTTGACAGTTCCTTAAACAGTTTACGTGAAGAGTTGCCATATGACCCAGCAATTAATTCCACTTCCGTATCTATACCCAAGAGAAATGAAAACATAGTTCAAATATTTTTACATCATTGTTTATAGAAGCATTATTAATAGCCAAGAGGTAGAAACAACCCAAATGTCCACAACTGATGAATGGATAAATGAAATGTGGTCTATACACACAATGGAATATTATTCAGCCATAAAAAAGGAGTAGAGTAGTGATGCATGCTACAGCATAGATGACCCTTTAAAACATTATGTTAAGTGAAAGAAGCCAGTCCCGAAGGATCATTGCATGATTCCATTTATATGAAATGTCCAGAATAGGCAAATCTATAGAGACAGAAGGTAAACTAGACTAATAGTTGCCTATAGCTGAGGGATGAGAGATGTAGGGGGTGGTGGCGAAGAAGTATGGGGTTTATTTTTGGGGTCATCAAAATGTTCTAAAATTGACTATGATGACGGATGCACAACTCTGAATATAATATACTAAAAGCTATTGAGTTGTACATGCTAAAGGAATGAATTGTACAATATGTGAATTACATCTCAAAAAAGCTGTTTTTTAAAAAATCAATAACAATTCAATAGGAAAATAAGCAAAAGGCATATCCACACATTTCATATAAGAAGAAACACTTATGCACAATAGATACTTGAAAAGATGCTCAACCTCATTTCTAATCAGGAAAGTGCTAATTAAGCCACAGTGGAATACCATTGAATACTCATGTGATTCACAGAAATTGTAAACTGAGGCAATACTGCTCCACATGTAGAGGTGTGGAGAAGTGAGGATGCTCATACATTTCCAGAGGGAGTGTAAATTGTATAATCACTTTGGAAAATAAGATGGCATTAGAGAGTTGAAGATCCAAGTGTTTATGGCCCAGCAATTCCCCTCCTAAGTGTATACCCAAAGAAATTCTACCAGTAGTATACTGAGATTGCATGTGTAATCACAGGAGCACTACAAAATTCAAAGCCACATAAAATTCAACAGTATATTATATAGGGGCATAAAGATCATAAACCTGTTTTTTTAAAAGCAAACAAGGGAAGGATAAACACAAAATTCAGGATGGTGAGAATGGGAAAGAATTGGGAGGGTCTAGCAGGGATGCAGGGTAATGGTAAAGTTCCTTTTCTTAAACTAGATGGTGAGCATATAGGTGTATATTGTTGGGATTGAGGGGTTGAGGAGAAGGCAAAGTATTATCTGACACTCTGACATTGAGGGAAAATTTAGAAAAACTCAAAAGCATACATGGAAGAATTTTTTCATGCACTTTAAAAATGCTGATAATACACTGTGTTTCTAGAAAAGATGGACATATTTAGCATTTTTTAATTTGAAAAGGGAAAGATAAAGTGTTTTTGTCCAAGAAAAAAAAGGAAAGAGAACAACACAGAAAAGAAACAGCAGTAGAATTGGGAGTATTTTAGGAAGGTTTCCAACAAAAGTGGTTAAAATTAAGAGCTTTGTGGCCAGGCGCAGTGGCTCACACCTGTAATCCCAGCACTTTGGGAGGCCGAGGTGGGCAGATCACGAGGTCAGGAGATGGAGACCATCCTGGCTAACACGGTGAAACCCCATCTCCACTAAAAATACAAAAAAATTAGCCGGGTATGGTGGGTGGTGGGCACCTGTAGTCCCAGCTACTCGGGAGGCTGAGGCAGGAGAATGGTGTGAACCCGGGAGGCGGAGCTTGCAGTGAGCCGAGATCGCGCCACTGCACTCCAGCCTGGGCGACAGAGTGAGACTCCATCTCAAAAAAAAAAAAAAAAAAAAAAAGAGCTTTCCACTTAGAGGTGAACTTCATTTATTTGGGCCACCACTTCTTTATTCTTCAGTGATGTTAGATAAACCAGACATTGCTGCCTGTAAGTAAAACCCCATGCTGTCATTTCATTCATTTCATGGTTGCCTTTCTCTTTTTCAGATCCTGCTCACACTAAAATATGAACCACAAACACACAGAGAAACAACCTGTTCACCACTCCTGGGTGCATGATTGAGGGTGAAGCATCCACCAGCACTTCAAGGGGTCCATAGTATTTTTTTTTTTGCTGCCTCAAAGTCCCCAAAGCCTTCGAGCAGAAGTGGCAGTAGATGGTTGCCAATCAGCCAATGCAGACTTTCACTGGGACAACAAGAAAGCAGATCTTCTGGGTTTTGATGGAACTTGGCAGTGGGGACATTCAGCTGATGCATTATATACCCCGTCAGAGCACACTTGTATCTTTTACCTTCCCTTTGCCCCATGCCCCCAAACTGCTTAGGTCTTCTCTGTCCCTTTACTGCTGCTGCACAGAGATGATATAAAAGAGGCTCTTTGGCTATTTGCATTTTGCTTCCTCTTCTTTTCCAGATTACAGTATGAAGCTTTATTTTCTTTGTACAAGCTTAAAATTTCAACATCATCATCCGCCAAAGTTGTTCCTCCCTTTTCGGAGGATCTAGGGGGAAAGAGGAGCATTCATCACAAGTTTCCTAGAGAGAGGAGACAAATCGGTGTGCCATTGACAACATGAGCCAGGGTAAAGGCACCCTTTGGAATTACTGATTTCAAAGATTAATAAAGTAATTCTATTTTTATTTTCTTTTTTTTCCCTTTACTAATTTCCCAACAATCAATATTCACAAACAGGACTGAAGTAGAACCAGTTTTTTATTTTACTTTGTGGCTGTGCAATTTTTTAAACATTTTAGAAATGTGAGCTGTAAAGAGATGTTTTATTTTTACATTTCATTTCAGCAGATGGTGGGTCCAGGCTATTCCCAAAGGCAGCTCCTGCACCTGGGGAGCGGGCATGTGCAGATGTCTCCGTTATCAGCCCTCGACAGGCAGGCTCACTCACAGCGTGGGCCTCCAGTGGCTTGAGCCCTGTATCCAGTTGCATGTTGCATACCTCGCAGTTCACCTGAATGATGCAGCACAGCCCCAGTGCTCTCCCCTCAAGCCTCCGCCCTCTTGCTTCCTCCCCTTTCCTATGTCCTCTCTCTCTGGCTTCTGCTAGAGAAAAGGTTGAGAGTTGGACAGCAGAGTCCACTGAAGGATTAACTTAGCTGCCCTAGAGAGTTATCAGGGGAGAACCCAGGCTCTGGGGCTTCTTCAGCAGGGTACTATGGACTCAGTGTTGAAATCCAAAAAGAAAATTGACACCTGGCTGAGCGCAGTGGCTCACGCCTGTAATCCCAGCACTTTGGGAGGTCGAGGCGGGTGAATCACGAGGTCAGGAGTTCAAGACTAGCCTGGCAAAGATGGTGAAACCTCGTCTCTACTAAAAATACAAAGATTAGCTGGGCGCAGTGGCAGGCGCCTGTAATCTCAGCTACTCGGGAGGCTGAGGCAGGAGAATTGCTTGAACCTGGGAGGCAGAGGTTGCAGTGAGCCGAGATCATGCTACTGCACTCCAGCCTGGGCAACAGAGCAAGACTCCACCTGAAAAAAAAAAAAAAAAAAAAAAAAAAGAAAAAATTGACACCTAAAAGGGCAGAAAAGGGACTTTATTGCCTTCTTACTGAATGAAAACAAAGGTTTGGGCACATGGACACATTTTGTTTGCTTGTGAAGGATGAGGTCTATGGGTTTCAGAAGAGAAGTAAGAATGCATTCCAAATGTCCCCGGGACTGGAGAGTAGTTTCAGGACCACCTTAACTATTTGCTCAATTGGTTGTGAGTTGATTAGGGGACAAATTAGAATTCCTCCATAGTCCCCTGATGAGGTGTAGAATTGGGAAATAAGGGGTTTGGGAGGACTCACCACGTGAATCTTGTGACAAGGGAAAAAAGTATGAGCCCAGTAAAAGAAGTTTTAGACTATAATGCTTGAAATTGCCCTAGGTAACCAATCAGAATGAAGTCTTCCAGCTAATTTCTTACTGCACTTACCATATGCTGATCAGGTGCTAAGACACCAGATCTCTCCCTTCATGTGTCCAAGTGCTTTCAAGTCATTTTTATTGGGACTGGACTTCACTTGGCAATAAACCAGACAGATGCTATGAGCCCTCCTCCAACAGAGGTGATATTTCCAATGTCACTCTTTACCCTCCCCCAAAACAAGCGTCGATTTTTGAAGACAGTGATTCAAGTTTCTGTAGCACCTGTCAGTGATGTGTAGAATAGGGGGGCTGACTTCAGACCCCTGTCCGTATTTGTGTCTGCTGCCTAACCTACAAGTAGAGCTCTGAAGAAAAAGACCATTTGGAATTGCACCACGTTCTGTTTTCTTTGGAATAATCCAGGAAATGTATCTAGCTGCCTTGGTTCATTAGGATGAACCACAGGCCAATGTTTTAGCAATGTGCTGTGAAGTTGGATAAAAGGGGGTTTCATCTGGGGCCAAAAAAATTATTTCCCTTTTCTATATTGAAGCCTCAAGTAAGGACGAGTGATGTCGGGTGTAATGCACCACTTCTCAAAATGTGTTAATAGTTTTGAGGCAACCTGGACCCTACTGCAGTCCTAAAGGTACCTCTAGAGCTGCAGCCTGAAACTGTACATTTTAAATAAACCCTTGGGGGTTATCATGCCCAGTGAATTTGAGAATGGCCCTCAGGTGAATAGACTGATGCTGGGACAGCAGCAGCCCGTGGCTGATGTGCTGAGCTTACTGCATCCCCTCTCTGTGCCCCCGGGCTCCCTGGAGCAAGATGGAGTATAATCCCGCCAGCCAGGATTTTAGGACAGGGACATAGCCCTCCGAACGATGGTGGAAGTCAGTGGGTGCCACATGGGATGAAGACTGAGAGGGAAACCCTTAGAATTGGCTGGGCGTGGACAAAGCGGGGAAAAAAGTACTGACCAAACTCACTTCAGTCTTGGAGAACTCAAGGAACAAGGGACACACATACGTACACACACACACAGGCATGAACACATCAGACACATCCTTCAGCCTGCATACTTTAGCTTCAGATAGACTTTTCTTTTACTAGAGGCAAAGTGATCTCACTAGAAGAATGTGTTTCTCAGGAGCTGCTAGATGGCCTGTCGCTCTGTGCCCGCTCACTGTGGACGGCTGCCCCACGTGGATGTCCATACCACAGTGGGATCCACGGCCTCACTCAAAAGAGAGCTATGGTTCCCAGATCCCTGACAAGAGGGCCACAATCTGAAAAGGGGTTCCTGGTTAGCTCTTTTAGGCTTAGCCTGAGAACAGAATTAGCCTCATATTTTTAGGCCATTTGCCATACACATTTTCTCTCATTCTCAACTGATACGGGTGGGGGGAGATTTTCGAAAACAGTGATGTTGGTAATTTATAGTTAGTAAATAAACCATGTTTCCATATGCAAGGATTCACACCAGGGGATCCTGCCCACAGGTATCTGGAGGTCAAATTCGTATGTGCTTTCTGCCAATCTGAGCCACTGCCTCTGTGTCTCTGAGAATAATATACTCTGCAAGAAGGAAAGACGCACAAGCAATAGTGCAGTCTTCTTAGCAGGCGGAAGTCAGCACGGTGTGCCCCCTGTGTAAGGGGAGTTGCGCTAAGCAATGTGTTTGGTGATTGACAGATTCTCTGCCCCAGATTCTGGTTACCTCTGATTAGTAGATGCGGACATGGAATTAAGGGTAATTGAAGGATATTTATCGAGTCAGACATACACCTTAGAATAAGGCTTTTACTGTTCTAGAAACAATATTCCAGAAGATGAAATCATCCAGGATGCCCCAAAAATATTTATTTATACAAAGATTTTGAGAGTAATATTCATACTTGTCTTTATACCTCAGTCTATGCGTCTGGGGCCAAGTCACTGTGTGGCACATGTGCAGCTTCCCCGAATGCCTCACATGTTGTAGCACCTGCTTCCAGGAACACCAAATGAACACAGGGTCTTGGAGGGGAAGTGGGGGAAGAACCCATAATGCCCCAAGGCTGCATGGAACCACAATCCAGAAATGTGCATCCTGACCTGGAAGGCGTCTAACCAAGTGTCCAAGGGGAAATATGATCGAGGGAGAGGTGAGAGGAGGGACCCAGAGGGCAGACAGGAGAGGGTTGATTTCCACCCTTTCTTCTGCGTTCAGCATATCCAAAAGGCCCAATACAGTTGATGGGCCAGGAACTGCATGACCTGGATTTTCTCCCTGTAGTGACCCACGATGTTAATTGATGTAGAGGACAGTTTGCAAAAGTAATAGATTTGCCCTTAATCCCAGACAGTATGAGATACAATTCTGGGACTTTGTCTTCGTAACCTGTCTTTAAAAAAAAAAAAAAAATGCTTGCCTTGTATAACATAATCCAGATTCCCTAGAGCAGATGTGGTACAGCAATGAGCAAATCCAACCTCAGATCTGAAGTGTCTTCCAGTCTGGCCCTGACCCAGCCATTCTCTGCCCTTCCTTCTCCCTTTAGGGTAGCCCAAATCCCATTGCCACACAACATCTCAACTTACCATCCCTTTCCTCTATCCCCATCCCCTCTGTCTGCGTCACAGAAAGTCTGTGTGTTCTGAAGAGTTCAGCCTTCCTCTAACCAAACCCACACTTTCTTTACCACCGTGATTCTCAGAGCCAGCAAGAAAGAAATGTTCCAAAAGGAAACCTCCATCTCAGCCATTTGCCCGGAGCCGAAGGTTGTGGGCTCCAGGCCTCTCAGTGAGGTTTGTTGCTTGTGTGTTTCCCGAGGAGCGGGCAGTCAGGCAGTGGTGGTTCTCTCTCCCCTCTCTCTGTCGCACGTGGGGTCTCAGCTACATTTACAAGACTTCACCACCATGTTGGAGAGCTGCTCCACTTTGGGGGTCCTCCCAACATAGTACAGGATGGTCAGGGGCTCCAGGTCCTGGGGCACGCAGCAAGGCGAGGCAGATGCTTCAGGGTTCAGAGTGTTGTACAGTCCCAGCACCTGGGAAGGGACATGTCAGTGAGAGGTTGGAAGGCCAAGTCTCAGGCCTGGAACCCAGGAAGTCGCCCAGTTCCAGGGGCAGTCCCAGAAGCTGAGCAAGTGCTAGAATGGCCACGGGTGCTCTTTAAGAGGAACTGTTGGGGGCCGGGTGCAGTGGCTCACAGCTGTAGTCCCAGGACTTGGGAGGCAGAGGCAGGCAGATCACTTCAGGTCAGGAGTTTGAGACCAGCCTGGCCAGCATGGTGAAACCCCATCTCTACTAAAAATACAAAAAAATTAGCTGGCTGTGGTGGCAGGCGCCTGTAATCCCAGCTACTTGGGAGGCTGAGGTGGGAGGATCACCTGAATCCAGGAAGCAGAGGTTGCAGTAAGCAGAAATAGTGCCACCGCACTCCAGCCTGAGCCACAGAGTGAGTCTGTCTCAAAAAAAAGAAAAAAAAAAAAACTGTTGGAACCTGGTTTGGGTGAGTGAGTAGTTGTGTAGTTGCTGTTCATCCACAATGACAGAAGCAGAACAACTGCACTTGTTTGGGGTGATGAGTTGAAGCATATGACAGTTACTACACTGATAACGAATTATCTTGGCTTTTTTTTTTTTTTTTTTTTTTTTTTTTTGAGTCAGAGTCTCACTCTTTCACCCAGGCTGAAGTGCAGTGGTGCAATCTTGGCTCACTGCAACTTCCGCCTCCTGGGTTCAAGCGATTCTCCTGCCTCAGCCTCCCAAGTAGCTGGGATTACAAGCGCGTGCCACCACACCCGGCTAATTTTTTACATTTTTGGTAGAGACAGGGTTTCACCATGTTGGCCAGGCTGGTCTCGAACTCCTGACCTTGTGATCCACCCGCCTTGGCCTCCCAGAGTGCTGGGATTACAGGCGTGAGCCACCGTGCCCGGCCTATCTTGGCTTTTAAGAAAACACTTACATTGCTCTTCCTAGCTGGAACTGATCACTTCGGTGAGAAATGTTCTCACAAAACATTGCCTTGAGCCATTTAGTAAGTGCAGCGTGCAGGGCCCCAGACAGGATGCAGAAACAATGAGCTAGAAGGAAACATGCTTCACAAATTACTGCCCTATTTTTGATTCCCCTCAAGGGAAAGACAGACTAGTTTCAGGGGTTGTGGACTCTCGGCTATCTCACTTTCTGTTCCTAGCATTTCAAATTAGCTTCTTGTCCATCCTTGTTGTTGTCTTTCAGAGTAAGTTTTCTACATTCGAGAGGCTGGAATGATCAGAGTTCTGATAGAAGCCTTTCTACTTCAGTGTTCCTTGCCAGCCACATGCACATATCTCTGACATAGGGTAACACGTGGCAGTTAATTAATTTCTACGGTACAGAGAGCTTTGGACAAAGCAAATTAAAAAGCTGGTTGAAACTATGGTAGGAATTTAAAAGGGCAGAATGTGACTGAGTAGAACTGAGTCAGGGTGCCAAGATCAGAACCTTCACCAGAGGAATTTTACTCACCCCAGACCATCATTTGCTCACTCAACATTCAATCCTTCACTCATTCTTTTTAACAAGTGGTCTGGTCGGTCAGCCCCAGTGCCTCAGATGGCATGAGCCTGCTCCATACCGTGCTGTGGGTTGTGTCTGCACTGCGGAGGTATGGGCAAGGGCCTGAGCAGAAGTTGGCATAGTAGCCCTTAGGTTCATGGACCCACTTCCAGCCCAGATCCTGTCGGAAGTCAATGTAGAGGGGGCGCACACAGCAGTTCTCCTCCAAGTTGCTACAACAAAAAACATTTATAGAAAATCAACTTAAAACCACCAATAAAAGAAACTTCATGAATGCTCTCATATTCTCCCTTGGAGTCCTTTCATGCCATCATAGGTGGCTCTGATCAATGGAATCCCAGGTTCAAGGGCATGGGGCAGAAGAAACCAGAAAGGCACATTCATGTGTTAAAGACCAGGATCCCAAGGATGTAAGAAACAGAGATAAATGCTGCATGAGGAAGAGTAAAGAGGCAAAGGTGGCCCTGCACCCTTTTCTATCACAATACAAAGCAGTGCTATGAAGCGCTCCACATAAAACCAAGCACTGAATGTTATTAGCCAACTCAGCTTTGTTGAGGTTGGTTTTATTTTTACCCTCCTAATGTGCACCCAGACAGAAATCAATTCTAAGTTTATGCAGCTTGACTACTATAGTAGGTGACTGCTGAGACTCAATCCAAAGGCCATTTAGCCAAATAAGGCATATCCTTCTATTAGAACCGTGGTTCAACAGATCACCCAAATGTGATTATCAGGCCCCTTCAATTCTGTTGCCTACAGAGATCATTTGGCAATAATACCGCTTGCCAAGTGGACAGCTAGCCTCTGCTTTAATATCTGCTGAGACTTAGAACTTGCTACTTCCAAAGGCAGCTATTAGCCAAAATCTGGCTTCTTGTGGGTTCCAAGGGTGAACCATGGCAGACACCATTGGTTATCTATTCAATAACCATTCCTAACTCCCTTCTCCCTTGTGACATCCCATTACAGAGTCGAAAACACCAGATGCTCCTTTTCCTGTCCTCCCTTGAGAGTAGCGGTGGTCATGTGACCCAGTAATGACCCATCAGACAAGGAGAAGTATGCAGGGGGTAAGGGCAAGTTCTGGCAAAGATATTCGATTATTTATAAAAGTGACAGATGGAAGAAGAAAGCTTCTGGCTCTTCCCCTTCCCTCATTCCTTCTTGTCTTAAATGTGGACAAGGTGCCTGAAGCCCTAGCAATCACTTGTGACCATAAGGAAAAGGATGAAAAGCCAACATACTAAGCATGGCAGACTGGAAAGAGAGAAAGCCTGAGTCTTCGGTGGCATCATTAAGCAGCCAGCCCACCCTAACCCTGCTGCTACAGGCCTCTTGTGAACAAGAAATCACTATGATTAAAGTCACTGGCCAAGATCATTCGTTCCTAACTGATTCGTTCCTAACTGATAACTGATTCGTTCCTAACTGATTTGTTCCTAACTGATGGAATAAATAAATCTACATGCCAGCCTTTGTGGCAACTACCTTGCCTCTCCTATACCTTGCTGTTGAGCTGTTCCCCCAACTGAACATCCCTAGTTTCCCAAGCCCAACCATCCTCATAAGACATGGTTTCCAGATCTAAATATTTCCCAATTCGTTCTCCCCAGCTTCATTTCGGCATCCTCTGAGGCCAGATGGACTCACTCACTCATGCTCCTTCCTTTACCTGCAGTGCTTCCCCTCCTGGATCCCTTCATCCCCAAACCTCATCCTTGAAGCCTCTGCTCAAATTCCACACCCTTCTGAAGCCTTTCCTGTGTCCATAGGTGAACTCATTGCTCCCAGTTAAAGCACTTAATCCTTCGGACCCTCTCATGGGCGTGATCATCTTCTCCCTTTTAGTAGTTGGCATGCATACTTTATCCTCCCTTTATAAATGAGCAGTGAAACTGCTCCTGAGTAAGAGAAGCTGGGTCTTTTCTATCTCTCTATTGTGGCTACCCAGTAATTTCTGAATTCATTTGTTAATTTCTCTAGCTCCAACTTTCCGTTCAAATGGAGACCATTCTATTTGCCTCCATCCAGTAGCATCCTTGGACCCTTCATAGGGAACTAACTGAGCACTTCTTTAATGGAAACTCCTACATTAATCTCACACATACACTCTACAAGTGCTTAAAACATGGAAATCATGGAGAGGCTTTGACCAAGCCTCTCCAATCCAAACTATTTTAGCAACACTCCTCCTCACAGAGTTTTCCTCATTTACTTCAGCCAGCTCCTTCCAGAGTTAGCCTATGGAAAAACAGTGGGACTCCCAGGAAAACAGAAAGAGATTTCACAGAGAAAATCTCTGTGAGAGATTTTCAGTCTTCTTCCTGGAGATGTTTGTGAATAGCATCAGGGACCCTCTGTTGAGTGTGGCTTGGCTCTGGGGCCTGACCTAGCCATTGGGCAGTAGGCAGGCAGTAGATGTTGGTTCCCATGTGGGCCCAGTCTCACCGGAAGCAGTAATTGGTGTCCAAAGCCCGCTTCTTCCTCTGACCCCCCTGGCCCGGGTTGTCGAGCCGGTGTGGGGGAATCATCATGAGGATTAGATGAGGGTTGTGGTGATCCTTCTGCTTCTTGAGGCGCCCCAGATCTCCACGGCCATGGTCATCCTCATTGTCCACGCCTGAAGAAGGGAAGGAAAGTGACAATCTCCTGTCTGAAGAGAGCAGAGCCCTTGGAGGCTGCCTCCTCCACACGCCCCATCACTGCCCAGGAGGAGGGGCAGTGCAGTCTGCGAGGGAGGTGTGGGGGACAAGTGCAGCTTAATTCTGATGTCCAGGTGCAGAAAGGGGAAGAGCAGATGGAGAAGCCAGTATCAAAAGAACTCATTATTATTGTAAGGATGCCCACTGAAAGATGCCCCGTGTTCAGATCCCCATACCCTTGTATAGAAATCTTCCAAGGGGCAGAAAGCCCTTGCTGAGATTCCTAGGAATCTTCATGGACCTATGAAGCATCCCTGTTACTAAGTGGGTACCTAACACATATCTCCGGGTTGTCGGCTTGTTTATTTGTTTGTTTGTTTGTTTTGAGACAGAGTCTCGCTCTGTTGGCCAGGCTGGAGTGCAGTGGCCCCATCTTGGCTCACTGCAACCTCTGCCTCCGGGGTTCAAGAGATTCTCCTGCCTCAGCCTCCCAAGTAGCTGGGATTACAGGTGCATGCCACCATGCCCAGCTATTTTTGTATTTTTAGTAGAGACAGGGTTTCACCATGTTGGCCAGGCTGGTCTCGAACTCCTGACCTCAAGTGATCCGCCCACCTCGGCCTCCCAGAGTGCTAAGATTACAGGTGTGAGCCACTGCACCCAGCCCTGGATTGTCACTTTAGATTCTAGACTTAGAATCTTGGGGTGTGAGTTTCCTCTTAAAATGTGAATGGACCAAGATAACGCAGAAGTCCTACCAAAAATTTAAGGTGTCACAACTTAAGATAGCCTGAATGGGAGCCAAAGAAACAAGACTGTATAATTGTTAACATTCACATTGCACTTAGAGTCTTTGAAGTGTTTTCACTATAAAATTCAGATGAGATAATGAAGCATATGATAAATAGCAAATAAGCTCTGGAAAGAAAATCTAAATTCATCAACCCGTTTCATCTGAAAAAAAAGGAAAAGACTGGAGACTGACTTAGAAAGAGTCTCAACTAAATGGAGATCGATTTTGCGAAGGACAGCTGCCAACTGTTGTCCATCCTCACTGAGGACAGGAACATGAGGAATTAATTTACATAGCTACAGGAGTGGCTCGGGTCTCAGGAAGGGGCACCAGATCTGTAAGATAAATGAGAGACCTGGATCACAAATCCCTTTTTCTGAAAATCTTTATGAACAAGATAAGTATTCACTGAAATGGGAAGGTTTCATCCTAAGCTGGCCTGTAGGTAAGGACTCCAAAGGTCCTCTGGGCTCTAAGGTTCTGTGGTTACAGTGTCAAATCTTTGGCTTTAAGAAAAGGCTGTAAAATAGAGCCCATGTGGGGTAAGATCACTGTCCAGCGCTGAGCCAAAAGAGGCCTGCACCTTTTCCCAGACAAGCCTCTGACCTCAGGCGTTCCGCAGTTACCCAAAATGGGAATATGAAAGGAAAAGAGAACTTCCCTGAACTCCAGAGATCATCAAGGCTGAGTTCCTTGCAAACATAATGGAAAACCAGAAATGACTCTCAACGACTTCGCCATCTCTACCCAAACACCCCGGGGACAAACACCCTGAGGCTCGAAGCAATCATCCAAACCCAGAGGACCCCTGGGCAAGGTCAGGTAGGCCCTGCACATCTGGAAAGCTCAGTTGTCTGGGCACTCATGTTCAGGACAGCCAAACTTAATTTCTTTTAGGGAGGAGGAAGACAAGTCCTATCTGTTGAGCATTTCTGGCACTGTGTTCCTTATTCATTATCTCATTTAATTGCCTGACAACACTGTGAAAGAGGAACTCTCATCCCATTTCACTAGGACCAGAGGCTAGATGGCTTGCCTACACAGTTTCACCACTTACCAGTACGTGTTGTCTTCCAGAGGCTAATGCATTCTCTAAGCTATAAACTGAAAGTTACACTCATTGCTTTTGGGGCAAAGCAGAATTACTCAAGTACAAAATAGTCGGCTATCTCTCTGAAGGAGCTTGGTTTCTTTTCTTGAGGTCTGGTAAGGGTCTCCTGCACTATCCTGTCCCATTAACTTCCCCCCCACTCACCCATCCTACCATACACATTCATTTTGTTACCTTTGAATTTGATTTCCATCACCTCGTGAATGTTTTCCAGGATATCTCCATTGGGCTGAAAGGTGTGACATGGACAGTGAATGCTGATTTCTAGACCTAAGTTGGACTCTGCAAAATAAGACAGAATTAGTGAGAAAAGCACCTCTGTGTGATGGGGAAGTGTGCCCACCACCCATGCAAGGGTGAGCCAGGGCCTCTGCTCCTATAGGGACTCATAGGAACTGAGTTCTATTGAGGGTCACAGGAGACAGAAAGTGCCTCCAGAGCTCAGAGTGGACCTTCAAGCGCACGTTGCCACATTCCAGGTATTCCTGTTGTATTATGAATCACCAAATGGGGGCATACACTAGTGGCCATCATGAAACAGAAGTGGAATAATCATTCCCTTTGAAAGGATGGTATTAAGAGAAAATTGTCACCTACCTACTTGGAGGCAAAAGTACACAGATACAGTAAGGAAAGCAAAAACTCATGCCATCTACATGGTTTTTGGGAGAGGGGATCGTTGAGCCAATCTACTGCAGAAGGATCAGGGCAAGAGGCAGAGGGACTGGAAGAGACTACGGACAGGGAGTAACTAAAGAGTCTCCGAGCACAGAGACTGTGATTCAAAAGGCCACAAATTCAAAAAGCCACAGGATGTAATGCTGGCAAAAAGATTCAAGTCAGGAACCAATGCTAGAGGCAAGGTCACTTGCAAACAGGAAGCAGAATCCGTCTCAGTGGAAGATGCAAGCATTTCTACCAGGGCCATGACTGTGGGCCTAGACAAAGTGGCAGATTCTAGAAGAGATAAGATGAAGATCACGGTTACACTGGGCCATATTTTTCCTAAGGAACAAGGACACAACGAGGTAAAAATTACTTGGACATTTCTTCTTTGGGAATCCTTGTTCACCATGATGGGAAGTTGGAATGTGGATTGCTCACCAAGATGAACAGCTTGGGAAGACAGTTGTGAACTTAGAAAACAGCACAGAGGAGATGATAGAGAACTATGGCTGAGGGTCCAGATGACTTGAGCACGGAGACAGTGAGCATGATGAAGCCTGGAGGTGCCAGGGTTTGGTGCCTGACATTCTGGTGCGTGAAGGGCAACTCCAGCCCATTCGCCTAGTAGTTGTGGGATCACATGTTTTGGCAACCAAAATCAAGGAAGCAGGAACTCAGTAAATGAGGTTGAGTGAAGTGAAGGAAAAAGAAAGAAAATGAAAAGTCTGCACTGAGACAAGTAGTTTTACACAGAAAACCAGGTAGGATCTGGTATCATGTCAATTCTGGTGGGTAAGACTTAATTTGGGAAGCTCTGTTGATCCTGGGATAGCAGCCAGTTGTGGCCAGGTGTAGGAGAGGTCATGGGGGATGGACCTCTCTGGATTCAGGGTCAGCCTCTCGATGAGTTGATTGATTTGCTGCTCCCTGAGGCCACACACCATGTGTGTGAGCATCTGGCCTTGGAGACAACCTGGAGTCTTCCTGAAATTGTGCCATCAGGGCAAACCCCAAAAAGTCCAACCTGGCCCAGCAACCTTCTCATAGACAGAAGGATACAAGCCTACAAGACTGGAGATTCCCATCAACATTAGGTTGGCTTGGACATCCCAGTCCTACTGGTTAAAACCCAGCTCCTTTCTTCCATAAACTCCAGAGCCTAACCAGATCTGCTCTACCCTAAGTCAGGGCAACCTCTGAGGCACACTGCGCCTGCTGAGCTTGAAGATCTCTGTTCCAGCAGGTTCGCTCAGTGAGGGAAGGCAGACCAATAAAACAAGGCAGCTGAGACCCAGCTGGAGGAGAAGTGAATGGAGAGGGAGGTATGAGGATTGCCCTCTCCCTGGGTTAAGGCAGCTGGAAGGAGGAGCCAAAGTAGCTGAAATGGGCTACCTAACAACACAGTGTACCTCCTGGTCAAGCTGGTTCAAGGCAGGCTGGAAGAGACCTGGAGTGAGTGAGTTCCATGATTCTGTGAGTTAGAAAGTCAAGGTGCAGACAGCTGTGTTGGGGAGAGTGAGGGTCCAGGATGTAAGCACAAGAGGGTGGCCTGGCTTGGCCAACAGGCTGTATCCAGATAGAGGACTTAGAGATGATGACAACAATCACTAACTTATTCTATCTCTATAATAATCCCATAGAGCAAGAACTATTATCCCCCATTGTACAGATAAGAACACTGAGGCTTAGGGAGATTAAACAGCTTGCCCAAGATATCCAACCAGTGGATAGTAGTGCCAGGATTCAAGCACTGACAGCTTGATGCCAGATCCCAAACTCTTGTTAGAGACAAGGAGGGGTAAAGAGGGGGCAACAGAGACCACCAAGGAAGATGCCCACACATTCACCAACATGCAAGATGGTTGTTTCCCAGTGTCCCACCTTTCCTGAGCCATGATGCTGAGAGGCTCCCTCCCCAGCCTACTAGGGGAGGCCTGGCCCTGCCTAGCTAGGTGCTGCAGACTATATGAGCAATAGCACAAGGGTATGAGACCTGGGTCCCCAGCGGCCCTTGTGGACTCCAACCCACTCTGCGACCCAGAATGCAGCCTGGGTACCTGGTGCACAAGGGCTCTCAGATGTTTGCTGAATGAATCCAAGACCACATGTGTGACTCAGTTTTCTCATCAATCTACACCGCCAACTGCTCCAATTTGGAGTCCTTTGTTGCCTGGTTTGAAGCCATGAACTCTGAAGAGACTCATGGGCTCTCTGTAAGTACAAACCTGTGTGATGATTCCCCTGTGGGAAAGGTGGGCAGTATCTGCCTAAGTGTGAACTGAAGGTTCCAATGAAGAACTAACCTCAGAATTGGCAGCTGTGGGGGTGGTGGGTGGGGGACCCATAGGTTTTATTACGAAATTATCTTTTTGATGTCTCAGGAGGATGGAAATCATTCTCAATGCAAACTTCTCATTGAGTTCTGCAGCTGTGAAAATAAGAACTCCTTCAAGTGCCCAGGGCTTCAAAGAAATCCAGGTGGAGCTGATCAAAATCAGACAGGGAAGTTAAGAGATTAATTTCCCCAGCCCCTCCTTTCTGTAGCCGTCTGAGTCAGAATTCCCAACAGAGCTGCTGTCGGCAGATCCACGTGGGTTCTCCTAGGCTCTTGCCTTCATGCTCAGTAGGAGGGACAGGATGAAATTCCTGGGTACCCTTGGGACTGGGGCAGGATCTTCAGCCCACCATCTGCCAACTCAGCCACTGGATAATTCCCCTTGGATGGGGAATTTTCTCATTTATGTGACTTGCCTGGGCTCCGTGGCATCAAGCAATGCAAACTCGATGGCTACCGAGCCCAGGCAGGTCACGTAAGTGAGAAAATCGAGCCAGCACATGATGCTAAACAGGAACTGCCAGCCTCACTCTTGGGGAACAATAGGGAATGGTGGGGGCTGCGGGGACTGAGGATGCATACCCCATCTCAAGGGGTGGCCGGTACTCATCTCTGACGGATGGTTATCAGGAAATCTTTCGATTTTTCAAAAACAGCAAGAAGTCCAGGTTTTATGTGAAATCTCCTGACTTAAAACACCCAAAACTGTTGATGACTAGTCAAATCGAAAACAATGTGCAGGCCAAATAGTTTGTAAGCTCTGCCTTTGAGCTTTAACTCTTAGTTGCCTAAAACACCAAGGACTTAGAAGGATCCACCTGCCTCAGGGACTCTGGGCATCAATATGTGGATGGTCTGTGGCTTTATAGCAGCTGATGACAGGAGAAAACCTTGCCCAAGAGGAAGAGAAGGAACAGATGGGACTGCCATCTGTGACCCCAACCCACTGAGCATCAGACCAGGCAGTACCAGCCAAGAAAAGGGAAAGAAACACAGAGGATGGTGTCATGAGACACCAAAGTTCTAATCCAGACTGGACGACCTCGGTCAAGTCACTTAACTTCTCTCGGCCTGTTTCCTTATCTAAAATAAGAAAAGCTTACTCTTGTAAAACATGGTAAAAACCATGAAGTTCTCTCAAATACATTTGATCCTTAAAACAGCTCTGTGAGGCATACATAGAGGAGGAACCATTGCCTGATTTTCCAGGTGAAGGCAGTGTGTGGGTAAGATATTTGGGACATGTGAAGTTTGATATGCCTCCAGGATAGCTCTACTTGCATGACGACCCGGCCTTTTAAACTTAACTGGGCAGAACAGAACCTGTTCTTCTCCTAGGCCCCCTATTTCAATAAGTGATACCACCTGGATGTCGAAAAAATTTAGAAGTTATCTGGAATGCTCTTGTGTCCTCACATCCCATACCTAATCAGCCTGTGCTACTGGCTACCTTCAAAATACAGAACAAATCCATCTGATCGTCATATCCACTGCTACCGCCCTAGTCTCGGCCTAGATATTGCTCTCATCTGGGCTGCCGCCGTGGCTCCTAACTCATTTTCCTGCCTCTTCCCTTGACCTCCTGGAAACTAGAGGGATCTTTTAAAGATGTCAATCAAATCACCTCACCCAGCCCCTCCTCCCTGTAGCTGTCTGAGTCAGAATTCCCAACAGAGCTGCCGTTGGCAGATCCACGTGGGTTCTCCTAGGCTCTTGACTTCACACCCAGTAGAGGGACAGGAAGGAATTCCTGGGTATCTTGAGTATCCCCAGCTCTGGTTATAGCACTCCCACACTTCTCATCACACCTGGAATAAGTCCTGAAACCTCGCCATGACCTGATGATGTTCTAAATTAAATTGGCTGGGCATGCTGGCTCACATCTATAATCCCAGCACTTTTGGAAGCCAAAGTGGGCGGATCACTTGAGGTCAGGAGTTCGAGACCAGCCTGGCCAACATGGTGAAACCCCATCTTTACTAAAAATACAAAAAAATTAGCCAGGTGTGGCAGCGTGCACCTGTAGTCCCAGCTATTCAGGAGACTGAGACGTGAGAATCGCTTGAACCCAGATGGTGGAGGTGCAGTGAGCAGAGATCGCACCACTGCACTCCAGCTTAGGCAACAGAGCGAGACTCAGTCTCAAGAAATAATAATAATAATAATAATAATAATAATAATAATAATAATAATAGTAATAATAAATTATATGGCCCCAGCAACCTCCCTGACCACCTCCCCTCCTCTTCCCCTCCCCAGCTCACCATGCTCCAGCCACACCGATCTGTTTGCTGCTGCTGCTAGAACAAATCAAGCTTATTTCCACTTGAGGGCCTGGGCCTCCCTGTTGCCTTTGCTTAGCACATCCCTTATTCTGATCTTCATGGGCTAAATCCTTATCATTCAGATGTCAATGCATGAATTTCTTCATCATAGAGACCTTCCCTGTTGGACTCCACCCACTCATTGTCACATTGCCCTCTTTCTATTTCTCATAGTTCCTATCCCTGTGGCTGCATCCCCAGGGCCTGTCTTACAGTGAGCATTTAATAAACATTAGTTGAGTGAATGAATGGAGGATACTCAGTGGCAAAGCTAGGGTTTGAACCCAGATCTCTGACTCCCTTAATTCTGTCCTCTTCCCTCCATTTCATGGAGGACTAAGGGACCTGAGGTTCATTCTGAAATGCTTATCTGAAGGGTCCACCTACCTCTTCTCAACAGCCACTCACGCACAGTGTCAGTGACATCAAAGGACAGCCACTCGGCAGTGCCCCGTGTGGGCAGATTCTTGCCACCGATATAGCGCTGTTTGGCAATGTGCTCATCTGGCCGAAGGATCTACAGGGCAGAGAAAGGAGTGAGTACCCGAGACCAGGACAGAGTGCCCCAGAAGATGTCACAATGCAGAGCACAGGTGAGGGAGCGATAGGAAACCAGTGGTTCCTGAATGCCATGGCCCTCGAGCACCTTAGCTAACTCTTAAGTGTTTTAATGACAGACACAGATACGGAAACGAAGGCTCAGAGAAGCCAGGATTCAAACCCAGGTCTGCCAAACGCTGCACCCAGTGGTGCCCTGATATGGCAAAGGAACCAGCTTTCCCGTCGGTGTGGTTTCTGCTCTGAGAGAGGAGTTACCTGGAAGAGCTCGATCCTCTGCTCATTCCGCTTAGAGCTGGGGTTGGGCACCCGCAAGACCCGGAATTCTGCTCGGAATAGGTTGGTTCTATTTTTCTCCACTGAGGACACATTGAAGCGGAAAACCTTGGAGGTAATTCCTTTAGGGCAGACAGCCAGTTCGTCTAGGAGATAAAGCAGAGCAGAGGGCACAGCATGAGCGAGACATGCAGGAACAGTGTGCTGCCAACGGACAGGCACCAAGTGGCCACCGTCCCGCCTGCCACCTCCCTAGAGGCTTGAGGCCTCAGACCGCAAGGTGGAGATACGAGGAAGATTCTTGGTGGCCCTAGAATCACACACAGTCCTGAGCAAGGAGCAGTGTGGCCTCAGAGCTCCACAACATGGCACTAGACTGGCCAGTCAAATCTAATTGCCCCCTCCTCCCACTGCCTTGACATCTCAGTTCTGGTAAGTTTTCCAACCCGTTTTTCCTACTTTTTGAGAAAATACTGATTCTAGAAAGATATCAGCACCTAGTAGTTTACATATCTTACAGCTAGTTGATTTATTCGTGTGTTTGTTCATCTGGGCATTCATTCATTTATCAAAGATGTATTGAGCAGCTACTATATGCCAAGCATAGTGCTAACCTTGGGAAGCAAAACATGAGTAGACACAACCCCTGCCTTCAAGGGGATTAAAACCCATTTATGCCTGGTGTTCCATTATTGGAACGCTAAGCATGTAAGAGTTATTTATATCCTGCTGCTCAAGGTCAAGGCCAAGGTCTGATTTCAAAATTCAAAAAAGTGCAGCCTCAGGCTTATGGGTTAATATCTAAGGGGGGGTATTAATACATGGGCCCAAATAACAGGACTAGAGAGAAATAATAGGACAGAGTGCCCCGGAAGATGTCACAATGCAGGAGCACAGGTGAGGGGAGCGACAGGAAACCAGTGGTTTTCAGAGAAGTCCAGGAGTTGCTGCAGGAAATCAAAGGAGGGAAATGGCAAGGAGCACTTCACGGAAGGGGTGAAAATTGAGAGGATTTGAGGATGGGGAGGAAAGAAATGTTACATGGAGTGACTGCTGGAAGCAAAGGCAGGGAGGGGAGGAAATGCAAATGAGTAAGAGGGGCCCGAAACAGCAGGTGGGAGCCAGGTGAGAAAGGGCAAGATGATAGATTGGGGTCCACCTGTCAGACTAAAAGGTTAAATTTTAACCCATTAACAGTAGGGAGTCACTGAAAGTGTTTGAGCAGTGCAGTGACATCTCAACCTTGTGTTTTAGACCCAATAAAGCAGGGCTTATATAGCAAAGAGCCCACATCATGAGCCTGGCAGAAACACAGATGCTTCCTCTGACCAAGCTGGTGTGTCACCATTGGCTCCTTTCTCTTTCCTTGACAGCACGTGCTATGCCAGACGCTGTCACCTGCTGGCCTCTTCATCCCTGTCCACAAGATGTGGGCAGCGAATGCTCTTTCCCACCCCTCTGAGCCAGAGAAAGAGAAAGAGCCTGTCTTTTCTCTGCTCCTGTACACTTGACAGCCTCAAGGTCTGAGCAGTATTAACACCCAGAGAAAAACTTTCTGCACAAATGGTAACAATAGCCCGAAGTTGAAATTCAAGCTCATAGACCCAGATTCCACACATAATGGACATGGCTGGAATGAGCTTATAATCACCCCGAGGGGTTGTTGAGGAAGTCACAGACAAGGCAGGAAGGATCAGAGGCCTGGAAACAAGCAAATGCGCTACTGATCTTCAGGAAAGGATGAGTGAGTGTTTCTGGAAATTGCCATCTGGTGGGCCTGACGCTGGTTCTTAGAAAATTAATGGAACAGATGTTAGGAAAACAAATGTGTGAATGCTGTCTAATGAAGCCCTGATTAATAATTGGCTTTGAAAGAACAGATACTGCCAACGATTCCCTAAACCATTTCAGATAGAACCAAGGAGAGAAATCAGTGATAGTTAAGTAATGTGTAAGTTTACAAGTTTGTAATACTCTGAATGTGGATAAGCTACTTGCATTGGCAACCCTATCAAGGACAACAGAGCTGGGTTTTGAAGGAGCTGTTATTGATATGGCTTCAGTTACAATAGCACCTGCTGGGAGGATCACTTGAGCTCGGGAGGTCCAGATTGCAGTGAGCCAGGATTGTGCCACTGCACTCCAGCCTGGGCAACAGAGGGAGACTCTGTTTCAAGTAAATAAATAAATTAATAAAGTAAATAAATAACACAGCTCCAGTGACTACAAGAGGAATAAAGGGTAAGTCAGTGCAACATGCACCTTGCTGTAAAAAGAAGGGAGATGGGGCCGGGCACGGTGGCTCACGCCTGTAATCCCAGCACTTCGGGAAGCCGAGGTGGGCAGATCACGACATCAGGAGTTTGAGACCAGCCTGACCAACATGGTGAAACCCTGTCTCTACTAAAAATATGAAAATTAGCCAGGCCTGGTGGTGCGTGCCTGTAATCCCAGCTACTGAGGAGGTTGAGGCAGGAGAATCGCTTGAACCCAGGAGGCAGAGGTTGCAATGAGCTGAGGTGGTGCCATTGCACTCCAACCTGGGCAACAGAGTGAGACTCCATCTCAGAAAAAAAAGAAGGGAGATGGAAAATGGCACTTGCTGGTGAGACAGTCAGAGTGGGTCAAGGCAGTGGGAAGCCAGGAGATGGGGAAAGTTATGAGCTAAGAGAGTTCTCAGGACACCCTAGTGGCCGTCCTCTTTGGTTTCTTCCAGCCTATCAATCATAATCTGCTCCCCAGGATGAACACATCCTGGGGAGAATTTTAAGGTTTCAAGAAAGAGGTGGGAAAGGTCATTTTTCTATTACTGGGATATATAGATTTCCCATGATTAGAAGGGACATCAGGAGTCATGTGGCGCAACCCTCTTCAGAGGAAGAAATGGCTGTCTAGAGGGTCTTGGCCAGAGTCACTCAGAAGTTAGCTGACACAAGCAACTTGACACTAGCAAGCAAAGCTTAGGACACAATTGCTAGTGATTAAAAAAGAATTGGCACCTGGGCAACAAGGTGAAACCCCGTCTCTACTAAAAATACAAAAATTAGCCAGGCATGATGGTGCATGCTTGTAATCCTAGCTATTCAGGAGGCTGAGGCAGGAGAGTCACTTGAACCTGGGAGGTCGAGGTTGCAGTGAGCTGAGATTGTGTCACTGCACTCCAGCCTGGGCAACAGAGTGAGACTCCATCTCAAAAAAAAAAAAAAAAAGAAGAAGAAGAAGAAGAATTGGCAGCCAGGCATGGTGGCTCACGCCTGTAATCCCAGCCAGCACCTTGGGAGGCTGAGGTGGGTGGATTGCTTGAGCTCAGGTGTTTGAGACCAGCCTGGCCAACATGGTGAAACCCCATCTCTATAAAAAATACGAAAATTAGCTGGGCATGGTAGCACATGTCTGTTATTTCAGCTACTCGGGAGGCTGAGGCGGGAGGATTGCTTGAGCCCAGGAGTTCAAGATCAGCCTGGACAACATAGGGAGGACCTATCCCTATTATTTAAAATTAAAAATTTTAAAGGCCGAGAACAGTGGCTCATGCCTGTAATCCCAGCACTTTGGGAGGCCGAGGCAGGTGGATCACTGGAGGTCAGGAGTTCGAGACCAGCCTGGCCAACATGGCAAAACCCCATCTCTACTCCAAATACAAAAATTAGCTGGGTGTGGTGGTGGGCACCTGTAACCCCAGCTACTCGGGAGGCTGAGGCATGAGAATCACTTGAACCCAGAAGGCAGAAGCTACAGTGAGCCGAGATTGCACCAGTGCACTCCAGGCTGGGTGAC